>NC_000009.12:39252424-39403939 GCF_000001405.40 Homo sapiens
TTTGTCTAAATAACTTTGGATCACATAGTTTTCTTAAGGAGACACTTAAGAAGAATGACAAATGGAGCTCTACTTTTTCTTTATTTGCCTTTTCTTGTATCAAATGCCCCATCATATTTTAGAAATCTTGGTTTTGCAGAAAAATTTAGCAATGTGCAATTCCAGGAAATATCAATGTAAACTTAATGACAACAAAGTCAGGTTTAATAGTCAAATCCAAATTTCAAGAATTTCATATTTTATATAATGGCACCAATTTTCCTGCAGCTGAATATACACAATCTGACTATACCTATATGTCAGTATACATACATATATATACTGAAATATATATGTATGTATATACTGACACATATAGTCAGTATATGACTATGACTATAGTCAGTATATATGACTATGACTATATATAGTCAGTATACAGTCAGTATATACTAACATATATGTATATGTGTATATGTACTGACATATATGTGTGCTTATATGCACACACACTGACCATGTATGTACTGACATATGTGTGTGTGTGTATATATATATATACACACACTCACACTGACCGTATATATGTATATATTCCTGCAACTGAATATACACACACACACACACACACACACACACACACACACATACATTCAGCTTCAGGAAAACTGGTGCCATTATATAAAATATAAAGTTCTTGAAATTTGGATTTGACTATTAAGTACACACTGACTCTCTCTAAATATATATATATATATATATATACACACACACACACACATATAGTATATATTTAGTACACAGTACATACACACACACAGATATATACATATGTGTTGTGTATTTATGTACATTTATTGAACACATTAAAATCTATTAATTTGCAAAATTATATATACAAAATTAATCATACACTTGTGATGAACCTTTTCATTCTTTCATGTTTCTTTGCATAAAGAAGTAAGAGAGTTGTTTGGATATTAGAGTGGAAGAGTATACATACATAATCAGAAATTTCCAGAGGAAACATGAAGAGATGTCAACTATTTCTCCATTTTTTACTGATAATGCTTTCCAGAATCATGACTTTTGATTTTTGCTGTGCTATAATTACTCGCTCTTTACAATGTCCACTTACTTCCTTGAGGGATATGACAGGAAGATTGAGAAAAACTGTGGCTGGAAGGCCGGCAGTGCTGTAGAGACCCTGGGACCTGGGCCCTTCTTCTTTGGCTCCAGGTCATCCTGTGGTCTCCCCACCTTCCTCCTGCTTCCCTGGGCCCTCCTCACAACACTTCACAGACTTCTGTCCTCGTCTTGTTGCAATATCTTTTCTAAAATGTATTTTACAATAATTTCTCTACATTTCCTAAGCATCTGAAACGTAGTGTGACAATTTCATATATATTAATACTTTATACAATTCCTCATTCTGTTTTAGGAAAAATTACAAATCAGTTTAAAACTATTTTGGCAAGCAATCTAAATTAACTAAAGAATATCTTCTTATTGCTTTCCTGTAATAGGAAAGAGGTGGTGATGAGATGGTACACAGGTAATTCTTTATGAAAGCTATGGAATTCAGGGCATTGCTAATTCTTACTAAAATATGTGGAAACTTAGCAACTTTGAGCATCATAAAAAATAAATAGGAAGGTACATGGAAGAAAAACCATGTTCTCTAAAACCCCATAAAGCTAAGTTTTCTAAATATAATGAAATGTAAAATTTTTTAAAAATCTGACTTTTTTCTGGTTTATTTTCCTTTTTAATTTTTAATTTTTGTGGGTATGTAGTAGTTGTATGTATTTATAGGGTACATGAGATATTTTGATACAGGCATGTAATACATAATAATCACATCATAGAGACTGGGGTATCTGACTTAAGCAGCTTTTGTACTGGACCACACTTAAAATAGCTTAAAGCTAAAATAATGGTATACAAAGAATTATCAGCATCATTTTCCGTTTTTTCAATCTGAACCAAAGGGAGATTGTTATATCTACTGACAAATACAAAAATCAAATGGGATTATGAGAATGGTCCTGTGTCAGCTAGTTATAAAATAGAAAATACACATATATATCCTATTGGAAGGAAAATACACATATACACACATCACCCAAATGGTGATGTTTTACAACACGTTATGTATAAAATTAGGCATAAAATTGAACTTTAGTTTTCAGTGAAGTATGAATAAAATAGTGAAGAGCTCTCCAGGTTGACAATTATGGGAACAATTCTAAAACTACTCATCAGCTGATTGCGACTCCTTATAAAATTAATTTAAACGCACCAAAAGCCATATTGCATTTATACTATAGAAGGTAAAACTGGTACAGCCATTTCATAAAAAGATTTTTGATATTTTCCTGTTTTTTTAAATTGAATAATTGTGACACAGAGAATGAGAAATGCATTAATCTTATTCTTAGAGGTTTCTCTGTCGAGTTTAAGTTGCCAATGTCATATGCCTGGCAGTGCGGTGGCCAATTTAAATGGAACCATAGGGGATTCAGTCCATGTAAACTACTTAAACATCACCTGACGGTCCCCTCCCCTGCACCGTGGGCTGCCATAACCTAATTTAACAAGCTCTTTCAGAGTTTGGACATTTCTTTGGTAACAACTGACATTACCTGGCATTATTTCATGTTTTATTCTTAATTATTCTACTACAGAAGCTTAAGTTTAATTCCACCTATACATATTATTTAATGTTTGCTTTGTCATGGCTCTGAGCTAGATGTTGTGAAACAATGTGCTTAACTGCCACTTTTACTCCCACTGTTGATACTACTAATTGCCGGGCGCGGTGGCTCAGGCCTGTAATCCCAGCACTTTGGGAGGCCGAGGCGGATCATGAGGTCAGGAGTTGAGCCTGGCCAACATGGTGAAACCTCGACTCTACTAAAAATACAAAAAATTAGCCAGGCGTGGTGGCGCGCACCTGTAATCCCAGTTACTCAGAAGGCTGAGGCAGGAGAATCACTTGAACCCAGGAAGCGGAGGTTGCAGTCAGCTGAGATCATGTCACTGCACTCCAGCCTGGGTGACAGGGTGAGGCTCCATCTCAAAAACCAAAACAAAACAAAACAAATAAAAAAAATCTACTAATTATAATTTTTGCTTCAGCAGCACTCAGTAGATTTTAGCTACTTTGGATCAGATCATATACTAATTTTTTAATTATGGTAATACACATCACATGAAATTTACCATTTGAACTGTTTTATATGTAAAGTTCAGTAGCATTAAGTACATTCACGTTGTGCAACCATCACTACCATCCATCTCTAGAGCTCTTTCACCTTCCCAAATGAAAACGCTGAACCCACTAACAATAACCTCCATTACCAGCCCCTGGCAACAACTATTCTATTTCTTGTCTCTATGAATTTGACTACTCTAGGTACCTCATATAAATGAGTAACGTAGTAGTTGTCCTTTTGTGTCTAGCTTATTTTCCTTAGCATAATGTCTTGAAAGTTCATCTGTGTTACAGTACGGGCCAGAATTTTCTTCCTACACTGCACTAGGCTTCTCCGTTTGTCCATCAATGGAAATTTGGGTTGTTTCTCTTTTGGCTCTTGCGGATACATCTGCTCTGAACATTGGCGTAACATAACCTAATTATTTTATGTGTATTAATTCATTTAATCTTCACAACCTATTTTACTCAAGTTAACTATTTCATGATAGGTACTTTACTAATCCCATTTTATAACTGAGGAAACAAAAACTCAGGGAGATAAAGGAATTTGTCCAAAGTCACGCAGCTAGTAAGGGGTAGAGCCTGGATGATTCCAAGCTTATCCCTAATCACTAAGGATAAGATAGCACACTTCCTTCAAGGAAGTTAGAATTGCACAAACCGTAAGAAAAGTATACAAATACCTAGTAAGCACACTGGCATGTGATAAATGCTGAGAGCTTTTTAAGGGAAAGTGCCAGACATATTTAGCATGCAGGCTTAGTAAAAATCTAGATTAGATCTGGCAGCCAAAATCTAGATTATGACCTGCTTTACACAGCCAGAGAACTAAGAATGGTTTTACATTTGTAAAGCGTTGCGTTTAAAAAAAAAAAAAAAAGAGGGCGGGGGCTGGGTATGGTGGCTCAGGCCCGTAATCCCAACATTTTGGGATGCTGAGGTGGCTGGACTGCTTGAGCCCAGGAATTCAAGACCAGCCTGAGCAACATAATGAGATCCCATCTTTACAAAAAATATAAATGTTCGCTGGGTGTTATGACATGTGACTGTGGTCCCAGCTACTCGGGAGGCTGAGGTGGGAGGATCACCTGAGCCCACAGAGGTTGAGGCTACACTAAGCTGTGATCTTGCCACTGTACTCCAAACCTGGGCAACAGAGCAAGACTGTGTTTCAAAAAGAGAAAGAGAAAGAGAGAAGAGGGGAAAAGAAAAAAAGAGGAAAGGAAAAAAGCAAGGAAGGAAGGAAGGAGGAGGAGAAGGAAGGGAGGGAGGGAGGGAAGGAAGACAGAGAAAGAAAAAAGAAAAAAAAGAAATGTAACAGAGACCTTACATGGTCCACAATACCAAAATCATTTTCCATCTGTCTCTTTACAGCAGAAGTTTGCTAACTCCCA
The DNA here is from genome assembly GCF_000001405.40 of Homo sapiens. Classification (NCBI taxonomy): domain Eukaryota; kingdom Metazoa; phylum Chordata; class Mammalia; order Primates; family Hominidae; genus Homo; species Homo sapiens. Next base: position 39,257,018 of record NC_000009.12, read on the forward strand.
TGTTTAAATTTTATTTTTAATTGATGAATAATAATTGTACATTTTTAAGAGGTGCAATGTGATGTTTGGATACATGCATACACTGTAAAATGATCGAATCAGGCTAATCAGCATATCAGTCACCTCAAATATGTATCATTCTTTTAGCGGTGAGAATAGTTAAAATCCTCTCATATATTTCAAAACAGACAACACTTATTAACTACATTCACTATGCTGTGCAAAAGAACAACAGAAATTATTATTCCTATCTACCCAAAACTATGTACCTACTGACCAACATCTCCCCCTTCCCTATCCACCCTCTCCTCTAGCCTCTGGTAACCACCATGCTACTCTCTACTCCTGTGAGCACTGTCTTTAAATTCCACATGTAAGTGAGACTATATGGTATTTGTCTCTCTGTGCCTGGTTTATTTCACTTAACATAATGTCCTCCAGGTTCATCCATGTTATCACAAGTGTCAGAGTTCCCTGCATCACGGGTTTTAATCCACACCTTTGATGTACTTGGCTCTAGTAAGTACAAGCGTGGGGAAAATGTAAAACTCTTTTGGTGCAAGCATTCTGCATCATGTTTCAGACTTTCAAAGAAAATTTTAAGTCATCCTCAACAACATCACATTAATTTGAGGCTAGAGAAGATACGGACTATAACCCTGACAAAAGCCACTTGAGCAAATCCGTCAGAATCATTCTGCAGGTATAAATTTTTAAATCACAAACTCATGAGGGAAAATGTAACTTCATTTCTCCATAACCCAGAAAGCTTTCTAGTAGGAGCTGGAATTCTGGCTGATACACAGACTGGAAGTAGTCACAGCAGGTGTCTCTGTCCAGTTAAGGGATAAGCCTGTCAGTTCGTGTCTGTATTGGTCGCAGACCCTTGAAAATTCCTTCAGGGGTTCTTTTACTTCCCCTTCATCCCCAGAGTTAACTCTGGTCTCTTCTGGCTTTGCTAATTGCCTTGGTAAAGCGGGGAGGGGAGTGTGTTCAAGCCCCAAGTAGAGGTCAGCACTGCACTGTCCTCAGGGATGGCGACCTGCTGCCGATGGAGCCAAGTCCTCCCATCCCAGGCTGGGACAGTGCTCTCCACAACGTTTTGGTGACCCTTTCTCCTCCCTCTGCCAGACCTCAGGCAGGAACATGGTCTTGCTCACCTGCCTTTGGTACCTCAGGGTGTCCTTGGATAACTGGGGCTGTCCTCACCGGCCACCAGAGCTGCAGCAGGGCGTCCAGTCCTGTCACTGAATGTGCCGCAGCACAACGAGGATGCCGTGCAGGCTGCTCTTGGAGACTGGCGTCCTCCTTTCCACTACACACATGAGAGTGCCCACTCAGATCCCTGAGCTTCAGTGAAGACTTCCATTAAGCCACCACCGGCAAGGCTCTGCTTGAGAGCAGAGCTTCAGGGCAGTCCCCACCTCTCTATGCATCCTATCATGCAGTCCTGCTGAGGGTTCCTAGTCTGCGAGATAGCAGAAAAATTAAAACACCTTTAGCCTGCTCAATTCCCTTTCAAACTTTTTCTACCTCAGACCAAAAGATGCTTTTGGACTTCAGAAGTGAAGATTAATGCCTTGGTTCACAGTCTCTGCAATGATCCCCTTTTCTCTCTACAGAAGACTCAAGACAATCTGAGTTAGGAGCAAAGACGGAGGTCTGAGGGCACTGGCGAAAAAATTCAGTGAGCTTGGAAGCAGGGTCATTTATGTTAATTGTACATGTCATCCCACACAGAAATGGCCTTTATAGGAATTATCAGTGTCGTGAAGAAAGTTTTGATTTCCATTTTTAAACCTCATATCCCCTCATCAAAAGCTCCCATCATGAGTTTCTGGCTGACTTACGCCAGGACTCACAGAATGATTCATCCCTACATGAAAAAGTATTTTCACCAGCCTCAAAGGTTTTCAGGAATTACTAGATCAAAGAATTGTTAAAGAAACTTTCCAAAAGCTCATTCTACTTGCCCCTCCAAGCAAAATACTAACTTTGTGATGGATTTTAGACATTCCTAGTCCGTAACAGCGGCATGAAACTTTTTTTCTTTTTTTAATAGAGACAGGGTTTTGATGTTGCCCAGGCTGGTCTCCAACTCCTGGGCTCAAGGTGATCCAACCGCCTCAGCCTCCCAAAGTGCTGGGATTACAGGCGTGAACCACCGTGCCCGGTCCTGCACAGAAGTTTTTGATGTTAGGTGTACCACCTTCAATGATGGCTGTGTGGATCCAATATCTGCTTCTCTTTCATTCATAAAATTCACCAAGTTCACATTGGAAAACATTATTCTATGGTTATTCCAGAAAATATTAGATTATCCCCATTTTGTTTGAAAACTGACTGAAAATATGACATCATGTTCCCATCTGGCAGGAGTGCACAGCAGGCATGGAAAATGGGGATGAGTGCGTCCAAGTTAGTTCCAATTTTCAAACATTCATCCCGCACCGCCTGTTCAGTTGCCTGGGTAAAATTGCCCCACGCAGAGAAGCTTTTACCCCAGGTTAATAAAGATGCTTTTTATATTAGTATTTGAGTTGTGGTCACTAGTAATGTTTTCTAGTTCAGATTGTGAAATTTGTATTTGTTACTATCTTTGTTTTTATACCTCAAAGAACCATTTAGAGTCACTGATTCATGTCCATAAAGCAGGAACTTTCCGAAATTTAGTAAGAATAGCTAAGTACAAATCTAAAAAAAAAATTACATACTTCAGAAACTAAAAATGCATTCACTGAGATGCCTTATATCCTAATTAAATATTAGCTGAATTGTAATTGATCTTACATTTTGATTTTGTGAAATATATATTGCCTTTACTCCAAAATTTACTAGACCACCTTCTTACGTATGGCAGTGGGCATTAGGTGGCTTGTGAATTTGAGAACTGCTCTATGGGGTTAGTGTCTGAGATTCATCAACTGAGCATGGAACAAGAAGAGAATAGCACTTTAAAGAACATTAACTGAGGACTTTGCTAAGCATTTATTTAATTAGGGAAAGCTTCAAAAGTTGAAGTTCGATCATGGGACTTTCAAAATAATCCAAGTGAGACATGAAGAGACTAAGCTGAGGGGGAGATCCATGGAAATGATGTATTAGAATCATAAGCATGAACTGTTTCAACAGACAATACACAGAATTTGGAAAAAGGAGGGAGTGATAACTCTAAGATTTTTTTCCACAAATCAACATTCATACATATTATTTTGTATTCATATACTGTGATCTTCATGGAGTAAGGTGTTAATGTAAAAAAATTGATTATTGGAGTTTATAAAAGCAACTTTTGACCATTTTCTCTGTGTGTGTGTCTACATAGCAAACTTACTTCCTCAGAGAAGCAGAAACTCTTTGTCTTACTGACACTGGAATCTATCCTCTGTAGTTTTATTCCATCAAAAAGATAACTAGGCTGGGCGTGGTGGCTCATGCCTGTAATCCCAGCACTCTGGGAGGCCGAGAAAGGTGGATCACGAGATCAGGAGATTGAGACCATCCTGGCTAACATGGTGAAACCCCGTCTCTACTAAAAATACAAAAAAAAAAAAAGTTAGCCAGGCGTGGTGGTGGGTGCCTGTAGTCCCAGCTTCTTGGGAGGCTGAGGCAGGAGAATGGCGTGAACCTGGGAGGTGGCGCTTGCAGTGAGCAGAGATCGCGCCACTGCACTCCAGCCTGGGTGACAGAGCGAGACTCTGTCTCCAAAAAAAAAAAAAAAAAAAAAAAAAAAACCCAACAGCAAAAAAAACAGATAACTAAGACTTTGGCCCTACAATATTTACACTCTGCATGGAAAACAACCCACCAAATATGTTTTCTGTACTTACTGAAAAACCACCAACTATGGTTTTATATTCACTGAATACAAGTAAATTAATGAAACATTTTCAGGACAATCAGGCACAGATTGCTATTTTTTCTATTGAGTTGAGATAATTATTTGGGCTAATAATAGAAAGAAAGTGTGTATCCACTCCTGGAAGGCTGTGTGCTGTGCTATAAGAGAAGCTGATGCCTCTGCTTCCCCATCTTTGTTCTGTGGAGCCACACAGGCAGCCTGATACCTGGGCAAATGCTTACCTGCCCAGATCCGAAGGGCTGGTGCACCCAGATTCGTGGCTAGGTTGTGTGCAGCACAAATTCCCGCCTCTAGTTTCCCTGCTTTCCTCTTTTCCTAAGAAATCAGTACCTGAGCTTTTTCAAAATAACTGGAGAAGAAATGAGGCAGAAAGTATCTTTTTAAACACAATCCTCATTCACTCAGAAAATTGAGAAAAAAGTTCTAAGTGATAATTGATGACAACCTGTAAAATTTTTCAGCAGCTTGAGTGTCTATTTTCTCTACAATATTGTCATCAACTCATAACCAAATATCACAAATAGGCAGCATAATGGCCTCATTAGGGCAGTTTCCACAGTGACCCACACCATCAACAATGGCATGCATCTGTCATGCATCTTCCCAGAAAGTCCTAAAATTCTACAGGAAAAACCTCTTGGAAAGAAAGTTTCAAACGTTGATGAGGTCCACCCATATAGTTAATCTCTTCAGGTGAGAAGCTATAAACATAAGACGCTTCTTCGGTTTCATCCATTTTGTAAACTCATTTGCTGAAATGTTCTTCACAGTAATATCTGTGTTCACTGCATTGTTTCCAAGTATTTAAAATCCCTGAAGAAGTAAGTAATCCATGTGTTTTACGCCATTTCAACAGAAATGTCTTAGGCAATGTTTATCTTTGCTGCTTACAGATCCCCAAATGAGACAGCTTGCTTCATTAGTGAAGGCCCCTTGAAAAAATTCTCAAACTCTCCTTCGGTCTAACGCATGGTTAGTTATTGTACATTCATTTTGCGACTTTAAAAAGGAGCAATTGCAGAGGTGTCAAGCCACAAATAACAATGCTGTCTAACTTCGTTAGACCATGAAAACACATGGGGTTATCCTTGCAAAAAAGCATATGTATTGTTTAATTTATTGCAGTAGCATCTTGAATCACATCTATCATGAGAGAATATAAAATCTTTTTCATGTTTTTCACACACTGTCATAACTTATTATTGTTTTCCATTATCTTAATATTCTGCTGTCTAAGAGATGTAGCCCCTGGGTGACCTGAAAGTCTGGTGAAGCTAGTATGATCAGGGATATAATAAGACAGTGACCATCTATGGACCTTGGACACAATACTAGAGAGCATGATAGATGCATGTGGGCCATAATGATGTTGATATTAATACGCTATTAATTCCTCTCTGACTCCAGTAAATCATCTCCACCTTGTCTAGGTTTTGCATTTCCAAATGCTTGCCCTTTCTCTCTTAATAATTCTCCTTAATATCCCACATTCCTTTAACCTGAGGTGGAAAACTCATAAGTGGGGAGGGAAATCCTAAAACTCACTAGGTGACACAATACACTAAAGCATTCCAGCTTGGGTCAGCAGACATGTTACAGCTGCAGACTCTTATGTTTTCTCTCTTTAGACCAAAGAGTTTATCTCACACTCATCATGTGTTGGTCTGTGAGTGGCCAAGACAACATTCAATGAGCAACCAGCAAACCCTCCCTTATGCTAGAATGCTTACTTATGGGGATACTAAAAAACACTAGGTCTGTTATAGTTCTACTTGGAAACTTCAGATGCCTTTTCTTCTAACTCTGAAATTTTAATAAGATGGAAGAAGCACTTTCTGCATAATTGTTTATTTAAAACTAAATGCAATTCCAACCCAGAAGAGGCCTCTTTTGGATAAGACTAGCCAAGTTACAGATGAAGACAACAGGGTCTTAGCTGTCAGTGAGATAGCCCTCTTTGATCTTGGGAAATTCTGAAGGAATTTCTCATTTCAAAATAAGAATAAATACTTTTGGGTAAAGGGAGGAGAGAAAATTCTTCAGGTCACCTTCCATTTTTTCCTTATAAACAAATTACAATCAGTTGACCTCAGCCTAGCATTTTGATTAAAAATAACTCAAGATAGGACTGAAAGAAAACACCAAGAAGAGAGTTTTATCCTAATCTTAGAAAGGCATATTCATATGACAACCAGCATAAGAAGCAAGGAATCTGAATTACAGAAAAATAAACTTTAAACTGAAACTGCTAATATAATAAATGCAGAGGAGACACAGGGCAGCAAATGCATAAATAAATGTATGTCTTTAGCCAGTATGTGAATGATACCCAAAACGGCTGGTTTTCCATCTCAAACAGTCATGGAATAACAACTTCACAGTGTTTATTAATTGTTGAAATTGTCTAAAATAAGAGATTATATTTTCACAAATTCATTTGACACAGACACAGCTATAAGCACATGAGAAGACAGGCCTAAGGAAAAAGGTAAAATTAATTCACCTATGTCTGTATTTGTCAACTAAACAAAGCATCGATCCATTTATTATAAAGTATAATAAAACTAAGGACAACCATTGCATAATTAAATTGCCTCTGAAAGCCAATTATTGATTATGGAGAAAACCAAGTTTTACAACTGTATGTGTGTATCATATAAAGATTTCATTTCCTAATACAGATCATTCATTATTCATTTTGAAATGTTAAGAATTTACTATGTGCCAGTGTATCGTTTGAAGTCTCATATTTTAAACATTTTAAACTATAGGTTAATTTTCTGAAATTTTCGATTAGTGTCAGAAGAAGTTACAGAAAAAGGAATAACAAACATGTTTAAATAATTAAATGGTTTCAATGGCATCTCGGAATTTCTTTGATATTATTATCAAAATGTTTTCTTCAATTCTACTCAAAACCTTATTTTTTTGCCCTAAGTCTTTGTCAGCTTATTTCAGTCTTATTTTTACATGTAATATACCACAGAGTTCTTCTTAGCTTCAAGTGATGCAATGTGAAAGGTGTAGAAATGCACACTGACCCTTAGCCTCTTAAATTTACAACAGGTCGGCCAGGCGCGGTGGCTCACGCCTTTCGGAGGCCGAGGCGGGCAGACCACGAGGTCAGGAGATTGAGACCATCTGGGCCAGCATGGTGAAACCCCTCCTCTACTAAAAATACAAAAATTAGCCTGGTGTGGTGGCGGGCACCTGCAGTCCCAGCTACTCGGGAGGCTGAGGCAGGTGAATCACTTGAGCCCAGGAGGTGGAGCTTGCAGTGAGCCGAGATTGCACCACTGCACTCCAGCCTGGCAACACAGCAAGACTCCATCTCGATAAATAAATAAATAAATAAATAAATAAATAAATAAATTTACAACAGGTCACTTTATCCTCAAATTAGCCAATACCATGTTAGAGGTTATACTGAAATTCTAACTATGAAGATGTAGAAAGCAAAAACATATTTAATTAGTTATAATCCAATCTGTGCAATATTCATGATAATACATTTTTACAAGTTGAAAGTAATTCTGGATTATGCTTCATAACTTATGAAACCTTTGGTGGAAAAACTGAGTCTTCCCCATTAAAGGGAATTAAATAAGTTGCTTATAAAAGTGCATTAACTTGTTTGGCCCATGGGTTCATCATTTAGTGGCATGGAAGAACTAGTTTACTTGTGGTATCCAAGAGGCATGAAGAAAGACACCTCCAAAAAGTCCATTTTGATTCTTTACACTGGGACAGACGGGATGCATAGCTACCTTGTTCCCCTCTCACCCCTCAGGCTAAGGCTTGAGTAACTATCGCAGCTGTTTCCATGGCGTCTTCCCATCACATGGGTACAAGGCACTGGGCTGCACAACAGGGAAACTACTTGTTTTCTGCCTGTTAATTTTTAGCTCTGAGATCTTTACACTCCACTGGAGAAAGGCTTTAATGTCTGAGACAGGGGGTCATTATTTGTTAGTTTAATTATTTATGATCAGAACATTTGTTCAGTCACTCTTCCATAGACCATTCTGAATCTAATAAAGGATAATAAAACACTAGAGATAATCTATAGCCTTCAATAAATCACTCCCAATTTGGAACTCCTTTGATGAATACTCCAGGCTACCATGAGGGAGAAGAAAAAAGTCAAAACCAATTAAAAAAAGCAACAACAATGAATTTGTAATAAACTCAGTTGATAGCTAACTAAAGTAAGCCTGTTTTTCTAACTTCATTAACATGAAAATAAATTTTATTAAGATTGATATCATGCTTTTTTGCACGAGGAGTTACAGGAACATGAACTAAGAATAAAAATGATCCCTATGATAAAGAATCCTCATAATCATGTACTTTAGTACAAAATATGATTTGACATCAAGAAGAGCTATGGCTTGAGATTGCTCTTGTTTTCCTTTACCCCCTGTGCCCAGGCTTAGTCACTGTTTCAGTGATAATGACCATCCACTGAGGCTCTGCAGCAATAGAATCTAAAGTAACAAAACAGAGCCCATATCTCTGCAACAAATGAAATCACAGACTTAAGAAACATAAACAGAAAAACAAAAAGTTAAGTTGTTCATGTTTCATAGCCATACTGCCTATAACAAATGCCAGAACATATTTATTTGGTCCAATGTGCAATGCATTAAATGTGCTCAAATACAGAAAACACCAAGAAATGCAACAGGGAGTTAAAAAAAAAAAAAAGGCTGGGCGCGGTTACAGGCTCACGCCTATAATCCTATCACTTCAGGAGGCCGAGGTGGATGGATCAGGAGGTGAGGAGATCCAGACCACCTTGGCTAACATGGTGAAACCCCGTATCTACTAAAAAAAAAAAAAAATACAAAAAATTAGTCGGGCCTGGTGGCGGGTGCCTGTAGTCCCAGCTACTTGGGAGGCTGAGGCAGGAGAATGGCGTGAACCCAGGAGGCAGAGCTTGCGGTGAGCTGAGATTGCACCACCGCACTCCAGCCTGGGTGACAGATTTTGTCCGTATCTGCAGAGGAAATGGGAAAAGCCAAAAGGAGGGGCGACAACTGATGCTATGGGGAGGAGCTTTACATTCAAATGAGGACACCTCCTGGCATCTCCGGATGGAGCTCCGAATTCATTACAGTATTACTTAAAGGATTTTATTAAAAGACCAAACCACACTGCACTTGTGGTTGAATGCCTTTATCAGAGATGAATCTTACATGTGTTAGGACAGGCTGACAGTGGCTCCCAAAGATATGTCTATGCCCCAATCCCGGGACCCTGTGAAGGTTACTTCAGAAGGTAAGGTTCTCCAGATGTGATCAAAGACCCTGAGACGAGGAAATTATCTTGAATTATCTGGCTGGGTCTTAAATACCATCAGAACTGCCCTTGTAAGAGAGATAAAGGTGAGGATGAACAGAGCCCCACACAAAAGAATAGTCACAGTGGAGCATGAATAAACCATTTTACATGGTTATTTCTCTACAGTGGATGCTAAGGAGAGAATCAAGTCCGCCATAATAAGAAATAAACTAAGAGTTGTAGTTAAAACATAATAAAAATCTTTTTAGACGCTTCTTTACTTTGCCAATTTTCTCATCCAAATAGGGATAATTAAATAATCTGGGACAACAAAATGTATACTGTGGCAGAACAAAAGAATCCAAGGTAAAAAAAAGGACATGACAGAATCTAAGGTCTTCGATAAATAATACTCAGATATTGCAAGGGGTATACAAAGAGTTCAAACACTGTCAAAGTCAGGTGTGACATGTTCAAGGCACACAAAGATCGTACCAAGGGAAACCCAGCAGGACCAGAAAGCCGAAGTGATCAACTTATTCCTGTCAAATACATTCTTGGAGTTTCAAATGTGAACAAATATGCTTATTCTGAATTTTACTTCCTTCTGCAAAGTAATAATCAATTATAATTATAATTATAATTATTTTGTTAAATGAATTATAATTATTTTGTTAAATGAAAATCCAATGAGAGTCACCAAGGAGCAATACAAGGAAAAAGGCAGACTCACCATCTCTTCGATTAAGCCTTGAAAACCCCGGGCCGTGGCTGCTGGACAGCTCTGAGGAGCTGCTGAAGGATGACCTAGGCAAGGCAGAGGCCAGTGGGGCATCACAGTCAGCTGCCGGGAAAAATACCGTGATATGGTTAACACTCAGATTGCAGCTTGGGAGAAATAATAGTCCAAAAATATATATGAATATATTCTAGGATGTATGGCAATCATCACTCCTTTTTTAATTTTTTACAATTTTTAAAATTTACATTGCAGTATAATTTACAGAGAGTAAAATTCCAGAGAATTTATTTGATGTTTTTAAAGTGTACAGCTCTATTCATTTTGACAAATGCATTCAGCCTTGTAACCTCCACCATAATGAAGACATAAAACAGGTCCATTAGCCCTCAAAGTTCCCTAATGTCCCACATTTTCTCAATTCTGCAAGATGTCTGGGTACATCACCCATCCAACACTACTTTAAACTCAATTTGATGCTTAGGTTCTTTAGGTACACACACACAGAGGTAGTGTGAATTGTGTGCCCAAACCTCAATAGCGGCTAGAAATTCTCACAGTGCCCCAGCACAGAACCTGTGGGGGATGGGAAAAGTGAAATGCACCAGGTGTTCAGGTCAGAGTTACCTGCGTGAAGCCAGGACCCATGAAAGGCAACACCTGTAGTGATGAACTGGAAAAAGCCCACTCTGTAGACCCCTCCAGAGGGAATCACTGCGGGCTACTTGCCTACAGGAGATGGAGGCTCCTCCTTTTTGCCTGATAACTTGAGCATTGCAGGAACTTGCTCTGCCTTTCCAAATCACGCTAGACCAGAGGGTTTCTGGCTTGCTGCACTTCCCTAGGCTTGTTGATTTAGTCTCGGCGATTAGCTCTGCCTAGGTTCCTCTCTCCCCACTCTATGGTCTTGATTTGTCCCCTGACCCCTGCCTGGCATCACTCTTAGCTTCCCACTTCTCCTTGACAAGTATTCCCAGCATGCTTTGTGATTCCCAGCATGGTGCCTATGAAGGGTTTGGGACAGAAACCATTTCTTAGTATTATGTTCATGAAAGACAGCAGAAGATTAAAATTAGCCTAAGGGCTTCCTGTATACAAATCAACATTGCATTCACAGATGTGCTAGTTTACGACAATTTTTACCACATGAATATGAAATGATTAAAAAATCAATTTGAGGAATTGCCCTTACCTAAGACAGAGATGATATACTTTTCAAAACAGCATTTCATTTGAGTATGTTAATTCTTGCACTTATTTAATAAAAGTGTATTGAGCACCTACCATGTGCAAAGCATTATGGGGCATAAAGAGAGACATGGTTCTAGGTTCAAGAAGTCCAGAATCTAACATGGGAGGGAGATGTGTAAATATCTGTTATAGGAAATAAACAGAAGAGCAAAATATTTAGATACTACTATTTATTCCAAAACACAGGGAAGCATCTTAATTGCTTAGGAACAAAACCAGCCTCTGAAAGAGCAAACACTACTAGGGAGAGATGCGTATAAAAGTGCTTCTGGAAAAGATAAACATAAACCATGCATTTTCAAACAGCAATTCATTATTCTGGGATCTGATAATAAGAATGAAAAAAAAAAGAATGCATGTATAATACATGGACAGATTTTGTCCGTATCTGCAGAGGAAATGGGAAAAGCCAAAAGGAGGGGTGACAACTGATGCTATGGGGAGGAGCTTTACATTCAAATGAGGACACCTCCTGGCATCTCCGGATGGAGCTCCGAATTCATTACAGTATTACTTAAAGGATTTTATTAAAAGACCAAACCACACTGCACTTGTGGTTGAATGCCTTTATCAGAGATGAATCTTACATGTGTTAGGACAGGCTGACAGTGGCTCCCAAAGATATGTCTATGCCCCAATCCCGGGACCCTGTGAAGGTTACTTCAGAAGGTAAGGTTCTCCAGATGTGATCAAAGACCCTGAGACGAGGAAATTATCTTGAATTATCTGGCTGGGTCTTAAATACCATCAGAACTGCCCTTGTAAGAGAGATAAAGGTGAGGATGAACAGAGCCCCACACAAAAGAGAAGAGGGTGTGAAAATGGAGTGAGGCACCCACAAGGTGAGGCACACGGGCAACCACAGGAAGCCGGAAGAAACGAAGAATGGATGTCCCCCTAGAGCCTCCGTAGGGAGTGTGGCCCATCTTGATTTTGGACTAGGGATACTGATGCGGAACTTCTGGTCTCCAGACTATGACAGAATAAATTCTTTTGCTTTAAGTCAGCCAGTTTATGGTCAATTCTCACAAGGGCCATAGGAAATGAACACACTGTTTATATGGAATTACATATTGGATATTTTAGGGGAAATGCAGGAGAGTTCCAACGAAAATACGATTAACATCCCTTTGAATCACACAGATACTCAATTCCTTCTCAGAAGGGCTTCGTGATGCTAAGCCACTCTGCCAGGCTGTGGCTCTCCCCATGCTTGTGGCTGCACTTGCTCCTCACTGTGAAAGGAGCTAACCACTGTGTTGGCGGAACCTAAGGATGGAAGGAGAGGGGAAGGGGCCACCGAACTGCTAATATGAGGGGACGGCACCTTAACCACCTTCGAATTATCAGAAAAACACAAAGCCTACTATTAAAGAGTTCAACAGATGGTTACTGTGTTATCACAGATGTATAGAAAACCTCTTTGTTCTAAAAAAAAAAAAAAAAGAAAAAAAAAGATTCCTGTCCTTTCTCAGACTGTCTCGATTAGGTCAAATTCACTAACTCCACAGCAGGCTTCTCTCTGGTTCCACATATTGAGTCAGTAGGGAGCACGGCCTCGGGAATCGAATCACAAACAGGGAAGGGGGTGCCCATACCTTCTTCAGGCCACGTCTGGATGTTCATCTGGATACGGCGCTATTCCATTCTTCCCATTTCATCACCTGTCTTTTCAGTTCTTAATGTACCTTAACATTATCTTAATGAGAGGTTAAATAAAGCTTTTATTTAGAAGGTACCAAAAGTTCATCTTGTTATGAATCTGAATTGATCTGTGCATTGCTATCTAGAGGGAATGCTTCGGAAAAAGCACATTTTACTCACAGTGAACATAAGCAGTAATGGTCAATGTAAAAATCTACTTTTTTCCATATAAAAACTTCTGTTTTACATGGTCTTGATCTCCATTCGATTATCTTCAGTCACTGTCTTCCCTACATCTCACTCCATGGGGTCTGAAGGGGGCTCACCCTACCACCTGGGGCCAGCACAGGGACACGCCTCAGGCCTGGCAACTGAATGCCATGCCTGTCCTACTGGAAAGGACTGGTTCCAGGATGGTCAGGAAGCCCATGCTGAATGAATGGGAACAGAACCTGGGACTTTCGAATGAATAACAGCAGAACCTGGGACTTTCGGCTTGAACTCTTGGGAGAAATACCCATTCATTCATTCAACAAATATTTGTTGAAAATCTATACTGTGCCAGGTGTGCCCCTATGTTCTGGGGATATAACCATAAACAACAGAAAAAGTCTCTGCTCCTGTGAAGCTTATCCTACTGAGTAGAATAAACAAATAAAGGCATAATATCTGTAGAACTCAACATTGCTAAGAACAGAAATAAAGGAAAACAGTCACGCTTCTAAGCTGGTAAACGGTATGCCTGAAGCTATGGCATAGACAGAGCTGCCCAAGAATGAGGCCAGTTGTAGACGAAAATAAAACTGCAAGAAGGAAAGAGGCAGACTGCTGATGAAAGAATCTGATTGCCTAAATTCAGCCTGGCTTCAATCAAGACACTTTGGTTCCCTTTATTGTTCAAGTCTATTTGATCTTAGATTCTGGTCACCTGAAACTGAAAAATGCTCAATAAGTACACTGTCCTGAGCCCCCACCCTTATCTTCCCTCTACAGCCAATAAATTGCCAAGGATTATGTACTTTTTGTGTGTATATGGCAGCTTTTCCATTATCATGATCATCATCTCACTGTAGGTCCTCATGTTAACGACCTAACTAATCCTTACAGCCAATGCTTCCTTATTGACTGTCCCCAGCCACACACACACCTTACGTATCACCAGAGCAGAAACGGTTTTAAACTATTGCTGAGTGCAAGTCACACAAACAGCCATATCAACCAGCTCCAATGGATCCCCACTGCACCTGTCCTGAAATTCAAATTTCAGGTCCTGGCATTCAATTCCTTCCATCGCCTGTTTCCTGTCACTCTCTGCACTACAGCCAAATCCCCTACACATTTCTCAGATGTGCTTCCTCCTTTAATCGGAGTGGTCTTCTCACTGTTTCCTGAATGTGGGATGCATGCACCAACGCTCCTTGACCGCTCACCCGATGACATTGCAGCCCCTCCTGTCTGCGAGTTCCCATCACTTATTATCTTCAGGGCTCAACTCAAGTTTTGTCTCTGCTCTGAAGGCTTCTCACATGTGTGAAGGCCCCAGTAAGGCTTACTCTTCTGAAATACTGAGGTCTGTCTCATGGAAAATGAATTACACCTCTGGAGAAGGAGCAGCACCTCACTCACGGGGAGCCACACAGCAGCCACGTGTGGCGGCAGATGGGGATGAGAGGGAACAGGAGAACCTCACTCCCGAGAAAGGAGCCTTGCCTGCTGACTGATGATTCTGGGGTGAGGAAGAGAGGCTGGCATGACCAGCTGATGAGTGTCTGGTTCCCGGGACATGACAGACAATTCCTACAGTCTACCTGTGGGAACAGATGAGGCCTGGAAGAAGACACATAGAAACAGGTTTAAATTCTATAAATTAGAATTTACAGGGGGTAGGAGATAGGGGTTACACGTTGTCTCTCCTTCCAGATGATATTTTGACTTGTTAAAGAAAACCTAGCATAGGAACATTGAATACCTCCTGACATTGGTGTTTTCAAGTGACTTACAGCACTACAAATATAAAGTTATAACAACAGCATACCAATTTTAACATACCAGGACCAAGGACTTTATTCTATGAGAACTACAAAAGACACAACACAAATGAAGACCTAGAGGAAAGTTTACATAGTTTTTTTTTTTTTTTTTTTTTTGAGACGGAGCCTTGCCCTGTTGCCCAGGCTAATTTTTTTTTGTATTTTTAGTAGACACGGGGTTTCACCATGTTAGCCAGGATGGTATCGATCTCCTGACCTCGTGACCCGCCTGCCTCAGCCTCCCAAAGTGCTGGGATTACAGGCGTGAGCCACCATGCCCGCTCAAGTTTACATAAATTTAAGCATCTTAATTTGATGATCTACTCTACAGTCATTACAACAATAAATATAA
This sequence comes from Homo sapiens, assembly GCF_000001405.40. Classification (NCBI taxonomy): domain Eukaryota; kingdom Metazoa; phylum Chordata; class Mammalia; order Primates; family Hominidae; genus Homo; species Homo sapiens. The sequence continues at coordinate 39,272,179 of NC_000009.12, forward strand.
GAACTATTTAAACATGTGGAGAGATGAAGGAGATGGGATGGGAAAATCTGCATATGAGAAGATAATGGACAAAGAGATCTGCTGGATTGAGATGAGATAATGGGTGTTAAATCCAACAAACACAGCTCTGGAAACACAGAAGGGATTAAACATAGATCAGCTCCTTTTCCCTGAGGAAGCTGAATAGATGATCTTGTTCTCTTTCCTTTTATTTCTAAATTTCTTGCTATGTAGTTAAATTATACTTCTGTGATAAATTCAATACCTATTTTTAAACTATAGATTTTTGGCTAAAGTATATAATATGAGAATAAGATGAACCTATTTTTTTGAGACTTACTGCTAAGTAGAAAGAGAGGAAACCAAATAACAAAATTAAGTCCTGCAGAAAGACATCAGACACGACACAGAAAAAAATACAACAACACAGGTGCATATAATTTAAAAAGAAAATCATGTGGAGATGTCATCACTAATAATTGTTATTACGAATGTATCCACAGCTGTGGGAATATAAGTGATAAAGATGAGCTGCTAATAAAGGGCAATAAATGATCTTTCCACGGGTACAAAAAAATAGAAAAAATGAATAACACCCAGTATTTGATAACACAAGAGGTGACTATAGTCAATAATTACTTAATTGTACATTTTTAAATAACTTAAAGAGTGTAATTGGATTGTTTGCAACTCAAAGGATAATTGCGTGAGGGGATGGATACTCCATTTTTCTTGATGCACTTATTTCACATTGCATGCCTGTATCAAAACATCTCATGTAGCCCATCGATATATACACCTACTATGTAACCACAAAATTAAAAGCTAAAAAAATTAAAAATAATAATAATTCTTTCTATGCACCTCTGAGAGTTGACAGAACTAGCGTCTGAATGAGAATGTAAGGTATGAGAAGGATATGGCTTCTTCCCAAGACATGTTACAGAGGGATGGAAAGAAGACTGTGTTCAACTTATAACATCTTAAAGGGACGTCATGACCTCACAGGCCAGAGCAGGCTACGGAGCATCTGGGAGCTGAAGAAAGAGAACTTCAGTGATACTTAAGTAAGGGTTAAGAGATGCACTCCAATTGCATTCTGAAGACAGATCCCAACAAGACCAATGACATCAGCTAGATTTTTTTCAGCCCAAAGTAATATACCTGCAAATTATCAGAACTTGTTCACTACTCCGTACTTGGCTCTAATATGATTAGTAAGGGGGCAGTGTCAGAATCCTTGAGAAAATAATAACCAGAACATCTTAGAATTTATTGTGCCCAAGGAAGGAGCCCTGTCAATAGACAAATGTTTATTTGAGATGTCAAAAAGATAATTTTAAAACTTTAGGAAAACAGCAGGCATTATCCCATGGCAATATGTTTTATGTCCAAATTTCAACTCTATTATTTCAAGCTATGTGTGTGACTTTAGAGGCAGCTTTGACTTCAATTTTTTAACTTAAAAAGATAAGAGTATTTAGAACACAATGGGAAATGTTACATAATACTACCTTGTAGACCTCCGAGCAACCACTATACAAAGAGACACTGTTGTTATGATTGAGGACAACATCGTTCATCAAATGTGAAAAGCTACCCAAATGAAATCCAGAAAAAACATGTTCCACTGAAGAAGAGAGAAATGGGCAAAGTAACCAAGGAAAGAATATTTACAGTGAGGCTGGGCACAGTGGCCAAGATGGGCGGATCACAAGGTCAGGAGTTTGAGACGAGCCTGGCCAACATGGTGAAACTTCATCTCTAGTAAAAATACAAAAATTAGCTGGGCATGGTAGCGGGAACTTGCAATCCCAGCTACTCGGGAGGCTGAGGCAGGAGAATCACTGGAACCCAGGAGGCGGAGGTTGCAGTGAGCCAAGATTGTGCCACTGCTCTCCAGCCTAGGTGACAGAGCAAGACTCCATACCGGAAAAAAAAAAAGGAATACTTACAATGAAAAGGAACATTAAAAGGAGGCAATATAAAGCAAAGTAAGTTAAAGCCCAGAACAAATTAAGACTTTCAAACATTGCTAAATGCAATCAAAGAGATATTTGTATACTCATAAGAAAAACCAGAAGAAGCTGCACTCTCTTGACAAAGCTCATAAGGCTAAGAAAATAGACAGGTCTGGATCCAAGATGGTCGAATAGGAACAGCTCCAGTCTACAGCTCCCAGCATGGATGATGCAGAAGACAGGTGATTTCTGAATTTCCGACTGAGCTTTGGTGACAGTAGTGGTTCTCCCAGCATGGAGTTTGAGATCTGAGAATGGAAAGACTGCCTCCTTAAGTGGGTCCCTGACCCCTGAGTAGCCTAACTGGGAGACACCTCCCAGTAGGGGCTGACTGACACCGCATACAGCCAGGTGCCCCTCTGAGACGAAGCTTCCAGAGGAAGAATCAGACAGTAACATTTGCCATTCTGCAATATTTGCTGTTCTGCAGCCTCCGCTGGTGATGCCCAGGCAAACAGGGTCTGGACTGGACCTCCAGCAAACTCCAACAGACCTACAGCTGAGGGTCCTGACTCTTAGAAGGAAAACTAACAAACAGAAAGGACAACCACACAAAACCCCATCTGTACGTCACCACCATCAAAGACCAAAGGTACATAAAACCACAAAGATGGGGAGAAACCAGAGCAGAAAAGCTGAAAATTCTAAAAATCAGAGCACCTCTTCTCCTCCAAAGGAACGCAACTCCTCGCCAGCAACGGAACAAAGCTGGATGGAGAATGACTTTGACGAGTTGAGAGAAGAAGGTTTCAGATGATCGGTAATAACAAACTTCTCCGAGCTAAAGGAGGATGTTCGAACCCATCGCAAAGAAGCTAAAAACCTTGAAAAAGGATTAGACGAATGGCTAACTAGAATAAACAGCGTAGAGAAGACCTTAAATGACCTGATGGAGCTGAAAACCACGAGAACTACATGACACATGCACAAGCTTCAGTAGCCAATTCGATCAACTGGAAGAAAGGGTATCAGTGATTGAAGATCAAATGAATGAAATGAAGCGAGAAAAGAAGTTTAGGGAAAAAAGAGTAAAAAGAAACGAACAAAGCCTCCAAGAAATATGTGACTGTGAAAAGACCAAATCTACGTCTGATTGGTGTAACTGAAAGTGACAGGGAGAAAGGAACCAAGTTGGAAAACACTCTGCAGGATATTATCCAGGAGAACTTCCCCAACCTAGCAAGGCAGGCCAACATTCAAATTCAGGAAATACAGAGAATGCCACAAAGATACTCCTCGAGAAGACCAACTCCAAGACACATAATTGTCAGATTCCCCAAAGTTGAAATGAAGGAAAAAATGTTAAGGGCAGCCAGAGAGAAAGGTCGGGTTACTCACAAAGGGAAGCCCATCAGACTAACAGTGGATCTCTCGGCAGAAACTCTACAAGCCAGAAGAGAGTGGGGGCCAATATTCAACATTCTGAAAGAAAAGAATTTTCAACCCAGAATTTCACATCCAGCCAAACTAAGCTTCATAACTGAAGGAGAAATAAAATCCTTTACAGACAAGCAAATGCTGAGAGATTTTGTCACCACCAGGCCTGCCTTACAAGAGCTCCTGAAGGAAGCACTAAACATGGAAAGGAACAACCAGTACCAGCCACCGCAAAAACATGCCAAATTGTAAAGACTATCAAGGCTAGGAAGAAACTGCATCAACTAATGAGCAAAATAACCAGCTAACATCATAATGACAGGATCAAATTCACACATAACAATATTAACCTTAAATGTAAATAGGCTAAATCCTCCAATTAAAAGACACAGAGTGGCAAATTGGATAAAAAGTCAAGACCCATCAGTGTGCTGTACTCAGCAGACCCTGCTCACGTGCAGAGACACACATAGGCTCAAAATAAAGGTATGGAGGAAGGTCTGCCAAGCAAAGGGAAAACAAAAAAAAAGCAGGGGCTGGAATCCTAGTCTCTGATAAAACAGACTTTAAACCAACAAAGATCAAAAGAGACAAAGAAGGCCATTACATAATGGTAAAGGGATCAATTCAACAAGAAGAGTTAAATATCCTAAATATATACGCACCCAGTACAGGAGCACCCAGACTCATAAAGCAAGTCCTTAGAGACGTACAAACAGACTTAGACTTCCACACAATAATAATGGGAGACTTTAACACACCACTGTCAACAACAGACAGATCAACGAGACAGAAAGTTAAAAAGGATATCCAGGAATTGAACTCAGCTCTGCACCAAGCAGACCTAATAGACATCTACAGAACTCTCCACCCCAAATCAACAGAATATATATTCTTCTTAGCACCACATCACACTTACTCCAAAATTGACCACATAGTTGGAAGTAAAGCACTCCTCGGCAAATGTAAAAGAACAGAAATTATAACAAACTGTCTCTCAGACCACAGTGCAATCAAACTAGAACTCAGGATTAAGAAACTCACTCAAAACCGCTCGACTACATGGAAACTGAACAACCTGCTCCTGAATGACTACTGGGTACATTGAGAAATGAAGGCAGAAATAAAGATGTTCTTTGAAACCAACGAGAACAAACACACAACATACCAGAATCTCTGGGACACATTTAAAGCAGTGTGTAGAGGGAAATTTATAGCACTAAATGCCCACAAGAGAAAGCAGGAAAGATCTAAAATTGACACCCTAACATCACAATTAAAAGAACCAGAGAAGCAAGAGCAAACGCATTCAAAAGCTAGCAGAAGGCAAGAAATAACTAAGATCAGAGCAGAACTGAAGGAAATAGAGACACAAAAAAACCCTTCAAAAAATCAATGAATCCAAGAGCTGGTTTTTTTGAAAAGATCATCAAAATTGATAGACCGCTAGCAAGACTAATAAAGAAGAAAAGAGAGAAGAATCAAATAGACATAATAAAAAATGACAAAGGGGATATCACCACCAATCCCACAGAAATACAAACTACCATCAGAGAATACTATAAACACCTCTACGCAAATAAACTAGAAAATCTAGAAGAAATGGATAAATTCCTCAACACATACATCCTCCCAAGACTAAACCAGGAAGAAGATGAATCTCTGAATAGACCAATAACAGGCTCTGAAATTGAGGTAATAAGTAATAGCTTACCAACCAAAAAAAGTCCAGGACCAGATGGATTCACAAGCCCAATTCTACCAGAGGTACAAGGAGGAACTGGTACCATTCCTTCTGAAACTATTCCAATCAACAGAAAAAGAGGGAATCCTCCCTAACTCATTTTATGAGGCCAGCATCATCCTGATACCAAAGCCTGGCAGAGACAAAACCAAAAAAGAGAATTTTAGACCAATATCCTTGATGAACATTGATGCAAAAATCCTCAATAAAATACTGGCAAACCGAATGCAGCAACACATCAAAAAGCTTATCCACCATGATCAAGTGGGCTTCAGCCCTGGGACGCAAGGCTGGTTCAACATACGAAAATCAATAAACGTAATCCAGCATATACACAGAACCAAAGACAAAAACCTCATGATTATCTCAATAGATGCAGAAAAGGCCTTTGACAAAATTCAAAGACGCTTCATGCTAAAAACTCTCAACAAATTAGGTATTGATGGCACCTATCTCAAAATAATAAGAGCTATCTATGACAAACCCACAGCCAATATCATACTGAATGGACAAAAACTGGAAGCATTCCCTTTGAAAACTGGCACAAGACAGGATGCCCTCTCTCATCACTCCTATTCAACATAGTGTTGGAAGTCCTGGCCAGGGCAATCAGGCAGGAGAAGGAAATAAAGGGCATTCAATTAGGAAAAGAGGAAGTCAAATTGTCCCTGTTTGCAGATGACATGATTGTATATCTAGAAAACCCCATCGTCTCAGCCCAAAATCTCCTTAACCTGATAAGCAACTTCAGCAAAATCTCAAATTCAAGATTTTGTATCTTGATTTGATACAAAATCAATGTGCAAAAATCACAAGCATTCTTATACACCAATAGCAGACAAACAGAGAGCCAAATCATGAGTGAACTCCCATTCACAATTGCTTCAAAGAGGATAAAATACCTAGGAATCCAACTTACAAGGGATGTGAAGGACCTCTTCAAGGAGAACTACAAACCACTGCTCAAGGAAATAAAAGAGGATACAAACAAACGAAAGAACATTCCATGCTCATGGGTAGGAAGAATCAGTATCATGAAAATGGCCATACTGCCCAAGGTAATTTATAGATTCAATGCCATCCCCATCAAGCTACCAATGACTTTATTCACAGAATTGGAAAAAACTACTTTAAAGTTCATTTGGAACCAAAAAAGAGCCCGCATTGCCAAGTCAATCCTAAGCCAAAAGAACAAACCTGGAGGCATCACACTACCTGACTTCAAACTATACTACAAGGCTACAGTAACCAAAACAGCATGGTACTGGTACCAAAACAGAGATATAGAACAGAACAGAACAGAGCCCTCAGAAATAATGCCGCATATCTACAACTATCTGATCTTTGAGAAACCTGACAAAAATAAGCATTGGGGAAAGGATTCCCTATTTAATAAACGGTGCTGGGAAAACTGGCTAGCCATAAGTAGAAAGCTGAAACTGGATCCCTTCCTTACACCTTATACAAAAATTAATTCAAGATGGATTAAAGACTTAAATGTTAGACCTAAAACCATAAAAACCCTAGAAGAAAACCTAGGCAATACCATTCAGGACACAGTCATGGGCAAGGACTTCATGTCTAAAACACCAAAAGCAATGGCAACTAAAGCCAAAATTGACAAATGGGATCTAATTAAACTAAAGAGCTTCTACAGAGCAAAAGAAACTACAATCAGAGTGAACAGGCAACCTACAGAATGGGAGGAAATTTTTGCAACCTACTCATCTGACAAAGGGCTAATATCCAGAATCTACAATGAACTCAAACAAATTTACAAGAAAAAAACCAACAATCCCATCAAAAAGTGGGCAAAGGATATGAACAGACACTTCTCAAAAGAAGACATCCATGCAGCCAAAAAACACATGAAAAAATGCTCATCACCACTGGCAATCAAATGCAAATCAAAAACCACAATGAGATACCATCTCACACCAGTTAGAATGACAATCATTAAAAAGTCAGGAAACAACAGGTGCTGGAGAGGATGTGGAGAAATAGGAACACTTTTACACTGTTGGTGGGACTGTAAACTAGTACAACCATTGTGGAAGTCGGTGTGGCAATTCCTCAGGGATCTAGAACTAGAAATACCATTTGACCCAGCCATCCCATTACTGGGTATATACCCAAAGGATTATAAATCATGCTGCTATAAAGACACATGCACACGTATGTTTATTGCAGCACTATTCACAATAACAAGACTTGGAACCAACCCAAATGTCAATCAATGATAGACTGGATTAAGAAAATGTGGCACATATACACCATGGAATACTATGCAGCCATAAAAAATGATGAGTTCATGTCCTTTGTAGGGACATGGATGAAGCTGGAAACCATCATTCTCAGCAAACTATCGCAAGGACAAAAAACCAAACACCACATGTTCTCACTCATAGGTGGGAACTGAACAATGAGAACACATGGACACAGGAAGGGGAACATTACACAACGGGGACTGTCGTGGGGTGGGGGTACGGGGGAGGGATAGCATTAGGAGATATACCTAATGCTAAATGACTAGTTAATGGGTGCAGCACACCAACATGGCACATGTATACATATGTAACAAACCTGCACGTTGTGCACATGTACCCTATAACTTAAAGTATAATAATAATAAAATAATAAAAAATTAAAAAGTTCAGTGTTCGAGTTCTCTGTCTCTTGGCCTCTGTGATGCCTGCAGAAACCCAGTCGCAACCCATTCATTCATATTCCTCTCCTTAGAGCCAGGAGTTAGCGCCCCAAGGGCAGTGCTGAATCCCTGGACAGGACTTGGGATAAATGCATTCCCCCTGCTGTCTCTCAGAGGCACAGCTGTGAAACACATTCTACCGGCTTCCTGAGAGCTTCCCAGGGAGTTCATGCCCCAGTTGCTCACAGAAGTGACCAGCTCAATGACACCCCCTTTTGGTGGATTTTTCTTCTCTATTCCATTCTTCCCTCTTTTATGAGCTCACTTTCTAAAAGAGGCTACCTGCACAAACGCCCATCACAGGCTCAGCTGTCTAAGAAAACTCTGGCTGGGAGAGTGGACTTTCCAGAATGGAATGTGGGCAGTATTCTAAAATACTAAATAAAATGCAACAGGAAAATCAAAGGGATGAACGTCACATGGCATAAAGAAGGAGGTAGAGGACATCTGCCTAGCCTTCCAAGAACAAAACAAATTGACAATCAACCCTGGCCACCCAGGAGATGAGCTTTGTCACAGCAATTCTTCCTCATATCCCAGAAAAGAGAAGAAGAAATGAGGACAGTAGAATCAACTGTGACATCCAAAAAAGGCTGCCCAATCTCTTCTCTAGAATGTGTCAACTGTGATTTATGAAATAACATATGCTATTTTTATATTGCAATGTTTGCTTATCTATAGGTAAGAGCTCACTATTTCTTATATCATGTTATAATTATATTCATGAAGAAGATGACCATTGCACAGACAAGTACACTGTGAAGAACCGTGAGGAGAGATTTTACCCTACTTGCAAGCTAACAAATGAGTCTGCCAGTTTGTTTCATCGTTGCGGCAGAAGACTCCTGGGTCAAAGCAAAGGACTGTATTACTTACAGCATAGCAAACAATATGAGCATCAGCATATTTGCATCAATTTCCTTGCCTCCAAGTCCTCTGGGGGAATATGGATGGGCACAGATGGATGTGTGCACACGCAGTGGGTTACATGACAAGTGAGGAGCCCTGAGCTTAGGGAATTCAAAGTTTTCTACGGGCAGCAGGCATTGCTTGCCCTTTGGCAACACTGCTGAAATAAATCTCTTATGGTTCAAGATGTATTGATAAGCATGTTAAGCTTATTTTTATACATGAAGAACAACAAATTGTTATTTTCTATGGTTATTCACAGTATCTCAAAATCTATGTGATATTTTACTAGCTTAGTTTTATTATAATTTTAAAAGACCATTTGGGTTCCTTTGTTAGTGGACAAGAATAAAAAGAGATAAATTAGTTACTTTCTTAAAGCTAAGCAACATCATTTTCTATTGAGGAACCCAAAACTTTCCTAACTTTTACAAATGTTTGTAAATTGTAGGTTCTGTGACAGCCTGTGCTATAAAATTTCATAAGCTTATAAGAGCTTTCTTAACACAGCTGTGGACTTTTCTCCTGGTGTTGTACAGCAGTTCAAATTAGCTCAAGAATCATAAACCCTATATTTGAACAGCTATATAATATTATATATTTATTTTCCCATTTGATGTTGCATTACTTTTTCTACCAATCTTCTTACAATAAATTCATAAATATCTTAATTATAGCAAATGTGAAGTTCTTAAAGATGAGAATCATCAAACATATTTCTATTACAGAGATATATTCTTCAAAAAGTCATCTAAAATAGAAACCCAACTGGGAGACACCTTAAAAGGTTATCTGCCACAACAGAAGCTTTGCTTAAAATACTGTTCTCTTTGTATTTGTGTTAATAATTGATTTGTCTTTGAAATTAAATTAGGAATCTACTATATCTAGTGGTCTTGAAATCAAAGCCCCCTCCCCATTCCTTATCTTCACTGCTGTGTTCAAAAAGACTAGACTCCAGGGACGTGTCCAAAGCTGGGTTAAATATAGGATGCCTGAGAGACACCCTTCTTTCATAGTTCGAGGGTAAGCATGTAGCTGTATGTGTGTGGAGGGGCGGGTGGAGGAGGTTAGCTGTATCAGGGTAGGCATAATACTATATTTTAAATCCCTCCTTCTGTTATAAATGTAAGCTGAAAATAGTCTCTGCTCCCAGCGGCAGCAATCGTAAACTCGCTTAGTTCTGCCTGTAATTTAATTTAATTTAACATGTGACATTGAGACAATGTTTCTTTTAATTCACATATAACTTCTTCCTCACCCACATTCCAGCCAAATAAACACATACTTATAGAAAAATGTGACTGTTTTCCTGGGCATCCCAACAATTCAACTGTCCCTAAAACACCAGGTTCAATTTAAACTCTATTAGCTTGTCTGAGGGCTAAGATATCTAAAAATCCAAGACAAATTATCATTTGCGTATATGGAGGCAGCTCTGATTGAACAGATATCTAAAACGGTTAGGTAATATTTTAGATCAAATCACTCCATCAAGTCAAAGACTAATTCAACTGTTTGTTCAGTTTCCAAAGGAATCCTTCCATTTTGGTCTAGTGTTCCATAAACATTGACTTTACATGAAAAGGACAGTGAAGAGATCTCTTGAACCGGCCAGAAAGTTGAAGCTCAAGGTTGTAGAAGATTTGAGCTACCAAGTCCAAGCCTTCTAAAAGATTCCCAATATGTATATATATCATTTTCCTAACTCTACATTTGCCTGAGAAACAATGACATTCAATAAACTTTTTTCCATGGGATTTAGTTACAAAATAAGTCAAGGAACTACAAGTTATATATTTCCTGGAAAAATATACTATTATATATATATATTATATATTCAAAACTCCGTAAAGCATATAAAGTATAAGCATATACTGAGTTATAAGGCATAACTCAACATGTTATTTTAACCTAAAATTTTCTTAGGGCCTCAATTGCAAATGCTTTAATTGCCAATGGTTCATAAACACATCTGTGAATTAGAAGCAAGTAATATCCTCTGTTTTTATACTCTCAAAAAATGTGATTATACTTAATCAAAAGTAATTCAAACCACAGCCCAGGCAATACATACTAGACCATGTCTTCTTGGTAATTTAATTCTTAGCAATAATTTTAATTGCTGCCTTATTAAGTAGGTATGCTACTTAAATTACAATCCTGTAGTTATAAGGTTAAAACTATTTTAAAATCTCAAATGTTTTTAGATTTCAATCACTCTTCGTATTATTACAACAAAAATGTTCATTAACTGGAACACATGCAGTATCATTTTTTAGCCCCCACTTTATGATATTTTTTAATTTTTATTACCAGAGTAGTCATTTCATTATAAAATTTTAACCAAGCTAAGCATATACTCCATTTTTTAGAAAACTAGATTTACTGTAGTCCTGTTAAGGCTATCATAGTAAGCAATGAATTTCACACTTGTCTTTTATACAGTACAACACATCAAGCAGATATATGAAATCCTTGACAAAAGACATTTAAAACAAACAATTCCATGCTTTATATGTCAAGTGAAAAGGAATATTTTTTCTACAGTGACAGAGCAGACTTGACATGTGCACAATCATGTACAACCAAGCGTTTGCAAATGCTCTTACAACGTGGAGCAACCGGGCCTAGGGACAAGCAACCTTTCAGCTAAGAGTCTCGTCAAAGGTGCGGAAGCCCATTACAGAAGACCAGATAACAGTCAGTCTGACGGGTTCATTCAGATATTCAAGCTTTAAAAAGTACTTTGAAGACTGATACAGATGTCCTAGGCAATAAACTTCCCGAAAAGAATGGGGAACAATCCCAGTGCCAATCACATCTTTGTCATTCAGAAATCCAGGCTAATTTGATTTAGAGACATACATAAATGAACTGTTATTTCTCATAACTGTTTTTTTTTCAGCCTCTTTATTTTTAATCTACATCTCTTAGGTAAAATGCATCAATTTAACTACATTTACTTATTCTGAGTTTTTCTATTGGTCCATGTTTCCTTTAAACACAATTTTGAATGGTTTTTTAAAGTAACCATTTGATTTTGAAACCAATTTACAGAAAACATGGAAGAACTACGCTAATATGCTGTATCACCCCTGAATACTTCAATGTACATTTCCTACAACAAAGATGTTCTCCTATATAACCATAATATGATCATCCCAGTCATCATGGATAAAGTTCCAATATTTAATCCCCAATCTTGTTCAAGTTGCACCAATTCCCAATCATGTCCTTTATAACATAAGCATTTAATGCAGAGTAGTATTTAGTTGCCTTGTTTTCTTAGCCTCCGTCAATCTGGAATGCCTCCTTCCTCACTCCACTCAACCTCTGACAACTTGCTATAGGTCACCACCAGTGCTGTCTCCTGTCTCTCCAGGTCCCCACCCTTGCTACACTGTGGATGCTTTCCTTACCCTGCTGGTTTCTGAATGCTCTGCCACGGTCCTGGGCCTCCCCACTACCCAGCATGGATGCCTAAGCTGAACTGAATGACCTTGGACTGAATTGTTCAAAAAGAGAAGGGGAGAGGAAGAGGAAGAAGAACGCCAAGTAATTTGATTTTTCTTTTTTCATGATCAAACCAATGTCTTGGAATTGATTATCACTTCCATGGGCTACTTATGCTCCGTACTGTTTGTATAGAGTTTGGTGAAAATGAATAAAGGCAACTGAACTACATTTTTTGGTTTTTTTTTTGAGACAGAGTCTCACTCTGTCACCCAGGCTGGAGTGCAGTGGCACGATCTCAGCTCACTGCCTCCTCACAGGCACCTGCCACCATGCCCTGAAATTTTTTCATATTTTTAGTAGAGACGGGGTTTCACCGTGTTGTCCAGCCTGGTTTCGAACTCCCGACCTCAACTGATCCACCCACCTCAGCCTCCCAAAGTGCTGGGATTACAGGTGTGAGCCACCGCGCCTGGCCTGAACTCCATTTTTTATAGAGTACCATTTGACACTAAAATTAAGAGTCTGTTACTCATCTGCAGAATCTCTCTTTAAATGGTATTACTAAAAGGTCCAAAATGAAACATCTGTAAAAATAATTATTCCTACACTCTGTGAGATCTCTTTCCTGACACATTTCACATCTAAGTGAGTTTCCTAACTAACCCACACACACTCTATAGTAGGCTTACCCTTCTTTCCCCAGGCTGGCTGGCGAACTTGCAAAACATAACCATTTAGGGGAAAAAATTGAGGCAATTAAAATTAAAAGTGTTTTAGGCTAAGTAATGAATAAATTAACCCACTGAAAAGTTACATCAAAGGCTATTACTCAGCATTTTACCAGTTACAGGAATTTCTGCAAAATCTGCCCAGCCATTTGTTTGTGTATCCCTGGGATCAGTGCCCAGCGTTCAATCTTTCTCTTGATGCTTCCTGCTGTTTTCAGGGACTCAATGAGAGCAGTAAGTGACCTTTCACTCACTGCAAGTCTATGGGCACTGAAGTTAGGAAAATATTTCCCTTCATGCAGAATCTTCCTAACAAAGCTTTCCCATGTATTTGTCGGGTCAAATAACATTCAGATAAACTGCACATAATCCCCAAAATGCCAAATGTTTAGAAAGCTTTTTTTTTTTGAGACAGAGTTTTGTGTTTTCCTCTTGTTGCCCAGGCTGGAGTGCTATGGTGGGATCTCGGCTCACTGCAACCTCCATCTCCCAGGTTCAAGCGATTCTCCTGCCTCAGCCTCCCGAGAAGCTGGGATTACAGATGCCTGCCACCACGCCCGGCTAATTTTTGTATTTTTAGTAGAGACAGGGTTTCACCATGGTGGCCAAGCTGGTCTCCAACTCCTGACCTCAGGTGATCCACCCACCTCGGCCTCCCAAAGTGCTGGGATTACAGACGCGAGCCACTGTGCCCGGCCTATAGAGCTCTTCCCATGAAGAGCCATTTCATGCCATCATCAACAGGTTGCCTTCGTGGGTGGCCAATGTGCTTCTCGAAAACCAGCTGTGAATAACGTGAGCAACTCATGGTGTCTACATGAGAAGGAAACTTTTAGATGTCCTTATTGACTTTCTTCTTGGTATTGAAGGTGGTATAATTATTACAGTTACATAGTTTTATCTGGAAGAATTACTTGATCTAAAAGGTAATTTAAAATTAGTAAAATTTATTAGATATGAGGATACTAAGTTTCATCAACGAAAGAAGACTGAAAACACCCACAGTAGTAGTATTGAAATTTCACGTGTCACTCAGCAACTCGCGAGAGTCCCGTCTGGTGCTGAGTCCATTTGGAATATCTGTCCCTGCCCTCCCCTCCTCCAAAAAGAATGTTCACTATAAACGAGAAGAGCTTAATTTCTATGGGCTTTGTAATCCTTCCACTGGATTCCAAGCAAAATAACTACCAATACAACTAATCCTGAGAATAAAAAGTAATCACAACTATGCAACAAAAACAGGAAAGGTGGTGGCAGGGTCTCACTCAGATTTCATTGCTTTGCTTTTCTCCAGGAAGGTCTTTTTGAAGCCCTGTTTATTCAATAGTAAGAGTGACCTCTAGTGACTTTTTTTGTTGTTGTATTTTGCCAGTTGATTGGTCAATTACTCTAGCATGCCTTTCTATAAGTAGCTCATTTATATGTTTGTTTAAGCCAAACGGCAGTTTCCATTACAAGACCCAAGGATTTTGATTTAAGTAACAACGTTTTATTCACAAAGCCTTCTCACAAAAGCAGATTAAAGTTGAATCTGAAACACGGTACAGCATCTGACCAAAGGAATCCGGAGCTTGTTTTTTGGAAGGGCACACCAAGTGTAGGATTAACTGAGGCGCAACTGAATCATGATGCACAGTGAGTTCATGAACCCATGTGCGTGCCCTGTGTGTGAAGAACCAACCCACCCTTGAGCCCGCGGGCAGAACAGCACTGAGCTACGGCAAACTTTTCATGACAGCTTAGGAGAACTGCTGAAAGCTACCCTTGGTTATCCTGCAATAATCTAAATTTCCAAACATGGCCACTGGCGTTTATTGGAACTTATTTCGAAAGAGATTTTGGTAGGAGAGGGCTGAGGCTGACAGCGGGGAGATGCCACTGAAAGAAAAATAAAAGTGATTTGAGAAGGAAGAGGAAGACATTTTAAAAATTCTAATCTCATGGTTTGATTAATCAAGAAAGAAAGACAACTCTCTGCTAGAGATTTACTCCAAGCCAAAAAAAAAATGTGCAATGTTGTGTAAACATTTTTATGTGTGATAAAATATGGGTACATTATGTTTTGCTCATCTGTCTGGAATATCATCATTACATTAGAATCATAGCCCATTCTAGAAATAAAGGCTTCCTAGGTGTTTACCAAATTAAGGAAAATAAAAAACAGGGAACCTGATGGCAAATTAAATAATGTAAAATATTAGCATCCAGAGAGGAATCATTTTCAAGATCACCTAAATGACTGGCTGAGTTTTGTCTTTAAGCAAGAACTTTCTACTATGAGAAACGAAGCCCCTGACAGGGGTGTTCAAGTGTTATTCCCTTAGTAGTTAGGACAGGTTATTAATTTAGTTTCACCTACAGGCGCTCTGTCCCTATACTGCATGGAAGTTAATTAGCATTTTAACTCTGAAGCTGCCAAGGTCGGCAAAACTGTAAGCTGCTAACATCTAAGTTGATGCAGTATGATGTAATGTCTGCCAGTTTTTTCCCTGTTAGACTTAATTCCTACAAAATATTACAATCCTAAAAAGGAATAAATGACAGCATTTGCACGCTAATCTCTTATTAAGATGCTTTTCAGGTTTTACAGAAACGTCCACTTTCTCAATGAATATTCAAGTACATCGATTAAAAAGTCAAAACATGCATGGTATATCTTAGACTCCCCCACAAGAGGAAAGTCTATTGTAAACAAAATCGTCTTTTTCGGGTTGCAATTCCAAATTTTTTTTAAGGTTCTTCATGTTCAGGAGCATGTTCTGCAATTCCACTTCCAAATATTACCGATAATAAAAAAAAAAAAACAAAGTTTTCCAGACAGCCTAGCGCAAGTTTTAAACCATTTGCTGTACTTACGTGGATTTCCTGCTCCCACGGGGCTCCAAGTCTGAGTGGGGAGAAGCAGCAGCACCTTGAGGACGGCCCAGGCCACTGAAGCCATGCTCACTTCAGCCAGGCGCCCTGAGACCCGGGCACGGCGACGGCCGCTCTGCGTCGCTCCTGCTCTCACTCCCGTCCCCTGCGCGGCTCTGACGCTGCTCTGCCTCCCCTGTCCAGTCTCTAGCTCTCTTCCTCACGCACCAGCAGCCTCCCTCGGCGCTGCAGACCCTCCCGCCAAGCCGCGCCCGGCCCCAGCTGCGTCTCCGAGGTCGGCCCCGCGGACTCGCGCCGCAGCTTTCTGGAGCGCTCGGGGCCGCGCGGCGCCACCCCAGGCACGGAGGCGGCAGGTTCAGGCGCGTCCCGGACACTAGGCGCGGGAGGCGGCCGGCAGCAACGCGAGTCAAGAAGCGAGCGGGAGGGACGCCCCAGCTCCGCCTGGCGCTCTCCTCCCGTTATACCGGCAGCTTCCTCCGTCCCTCTCTCCCACCGGGGCGGGGCGGCCGCGGTGCACGGACTCGCGCCAAAGACCGCGCCGTCAGCCTCCGCCTGCAGGTGGAGAACGCCAGGCTTTATCACTGCGCTGTTCACCCAACGCAGGGGCTGCACCCAGGAAAATGCTGTCCTGTTTGAGTTCAAATAGGGAAGATGGGGCAGAAATAACTCTGCGGCGTGTACTTGGGCAGACGCGCGCACACTTTGATTTTGCTAGGAATTCTGACTTGTAGAGAACCAAGCTGGGAAACCGGGCCAGGAGCAGGGAGAGGCCGGTGAGCCTGGGTTGTGCGAGTGCAAGCCTTTATTTAAAGTTTTAATATTTTGTCTATCATGGGTTTTTTTTTCTTTGCGATTACATTCAATTTTAAAACTATTTCATTCATTCAGGATTAGCGTTACTTAACAGTTGCTCCTGAGACTAGTGCGTTAGTCCCTTCACCCTAGTCCTGGCCTTGGTGGAAGTCTAAAATTTACGTTTTATTCCAGCTTTCTGTCCAAAAGAGCAACCCCTGCAAGTGTAGGATGAGGAGCTCAGTCCAGCAGCAGCTAACACTGCACTCCTTGCGCGCCTACTGTGTGCTAGAGGGAGGGGCGGAGGCAGGGGGCGGGGGGGGGGGTCTTTCTCTTTTTCTCTTCCTCTGCTTCTCAAATTCACAGTAGGGGCAAAGATTGACAAACTCACTCACATTACCACCACCGCGAGTTTCCAAAAAAGAAAAAAGAAAGAAAGATACTTTTTTAGATGGTATCTCTAAGAAATAGTGTATTAATCTTCCCTTTAGAAAGACAACTTTGAAAGGCTTTTTCATTAAAATGAATTCAAATGTAATAGATGTAAAATGTAAAATGAATTCAAATGTAATAGATGAAGAATCTTACAAAGTCATTCTTGAATTATTAATTGGGTTCACTTAAACTACTTTTGCACAAGAACTCTGTAAATAGCACGTCTTTTATTACAGAAAAAATTATAAATCTAAAGTTTTGATTGACAGATCAGTTGCCTTCAGTGAGACAGAAAGAGAGAAAATGGAAATCATTTTCTAAATTGGACCTAGAGTAAAACAACAAATGTCAATCTATTATTATACCAATTTGTCAGGCATCAGATGGAGTCTTTAAAAATGTGAACTTGGCCGGGTGCAGTGGCTCATGCCTGTAATCTCAGCACTTTGGGAGGCGGAGGAGGCCAAGAGGTCAGGAGATGGAGCCCATCCTGGCCAACACGGTGAAACCCTGTCTCTATTAAAATACAAAAAATTAACCGGGCGTGGTGGTGCCTGCCTGTAGTCCCAGCTACTCGGGAGGCTGAGGCAGGAGAATTGCTTGAACCCGGGAGGCAGAGGTTGCAGCAAGCCAACATTGCACCCTGCACTCCAGCTTGGCGACAGAGCCAGACTCCGTCTCAAGACAAAAAAAAAAAAAAGTGAACTTGGGTGTTCAAAGTGTTAGGCTTAATGGAGAAAGGCCAAGAAACTTCTACGGTGGTAGACATTTGCAATTAAAACAAAATGGCTTCATTAAACTGTAAAATCACTAGCGTAGTGAGGGTGCATGCATTTTTTACAACATTGGAGGAATATATTTATGAATATTATTCCCAATACATAAAATATACATTTTACACACTTATAGGTACACTCAAAATTTGTTCCAAATTGTTCATGTCTAGTAAATGTATATACACTATTTTATATGGTTAAGCCAATAAGCATCAGCATTTTCTTCTAAGACAGGAGGCTTGTAATTGTTTTGATTCCCCTGCTTTTGACTTAAAACTTATTTAGGTTTATTCTACTTAAGTTGTTTGGTTAGGGGACTTGAAGTCCTTAAACATAAATGTGTGTCTTGAAATGCATTTTATGTGGCTATAATTGCTGCTATATGGTTATTATTTAAATCAGCATAGACACTTGCTGTGGTGATAATGCTGGCAATGAACTTTGCAGACTAAGAGTAGTGAGGCTCTAAAAATTACTTTGCCTAGTAGAGAAGCATCCGTCACAATCATCACACACTACACACTTACTGAACAAATGAAGACATGAATTCGAGATGGCCGATGTAACTAGAACACTGGATGTCCCAGAAAAAATATCGAATATCACAAATATAAATGTTTTATGTGTTGCTGCTTTATTTCCTTTCTTCCCTACTTTCCATGATAATGCAATTTAAACTTTGAAACTTCTTACCTTCTATTTAACCTTAACATGGATAATAAATACAATTATATTTTTTATTTCAATCTGGATAATGGTTGTATGATTCAACCAGAATAAGAAAGGAATAAGATCTACTTTGCAATAGCACATATTTAGGAAGTGAGTATATTTATATTGGAACAAATGATGATACTGAGGTGTGTTTGATGACTAGCTTCTGGATTATAAGAATGTAAATGTTTGTTAAGACAGACTCTTTTGAAATTTGTTCTTGAATATTTTGAATTACAAAAGGAACATTTTTAAAAGAATTGTATAAAGAAAATGTTAATAATTGCCACTACCATCACCCCAACCCCACTGAGGTAACCAATGATACAAAACAGGCTGACAGGCTGGTATGTATCCTTATGTATCCTTGTTTTGGCTCTTCTTCTTCTTTTTTTTTTTTGAGACAGAGTCTCGCTCTGTCGCCTAGACTGGAGTGCAGTAGTGGTGTGATCTTCGCTCACTGCAACCTCTGCCTCCCAGGTTCAAGCAATTCTTGTGCCTCAGCCTCCTGAGAAGCTGGGAGAACAAGTGAGTGCCACCACACCCGGCTAAGTTTTTGTATTTTTGGTAGGGACAAGGTTTTTCCATGTTGCCCAGGCTGGTCTCGAACTTCCTGAGCTCAAGTGATCCACCCGCCTTGGCCTCCCAAAGTCTTGAGATTACAGGCGTGAGCCATCACACCCGGCCTTGGCTCTTATATATAAACACATACAACCTGTACATAGAGTTGTGCTTATTTTGTTTCAATAAGGTTTTACCTTGTACTTTATACTCTCATCCTGCAATTTTATCATCTCTCTTTGTAGTATACCGTGTGCATTGCAGTCTAAGCTAGAACTTAGTTTTCAGTTCTAGAAAATAGAGTGAGAATACAAAAATATAACATTTGCCTGCCAATCTAATAGCATTTTAATTCCTAAATAGATCTACTTTCACAAATATGCTACTTCTCAAAGAATTATTTTTCTTATGATATTTTTCTAAGCAATGCAATGTGATATTAGTCAGATTTTTAAAATGCACTACTGCATTAGTCAAGGCCCAGAAAGAAAGCATGATTTGCTCAGATAGTTTAAAGGGACAGGCTGAAAAGAAAAGTGAAGGGACCCACCAGGTGACATTGTGGCAACCAAAGACAAGCACTAGCAGAAAGCCTTTACTACCTACAGCAGAGGCGCAGAGGGAGGAACGGTTGCTGCCAGATCCCCAGAAGGCAGCAGCCGGGGAACACAAAGGTCTGGCAGGAGCCACAGTCATAGAAGTAAAAGAATTTCTTGTCAGAACCTGGAAACAGGAGTGAGTAGGGAAGAAACTTTTTGAGCTCTGACTTCTGAAACCTTACTGTTTCTGTGGGTGTCTCTCATTAGCCAAAACCAACTGGAAGTCAGCTGGGAGGGGAGCAGGGTGACACTCGAGCAGGAAGGGTGACACTCGGGCAGGAAGGGTGACACTGGGGCTGGAAGAGTAGAGGGTGGTTCTGAGGACCTCCACAAAGAATGGCCAGCACATCCTAGAACACTGACACTTACCAAATTTTTAAAAAAAGTTTATTTTTGTTTTGTGCATTCATGTTCTTTAATGAATGATTTATCAAGTAATGGCTTGGAATAGAAATCTAAAGCTTTTATTTTTTAAATTGTGAACCGAAGTAATCGTACTTGCTAGAAATTAAACCAGAGCTTTGAGGTCAAATAGTTTACTCTTTCTTCTGTTTATATTAACAGGGAAGATTAATTGTGCCGAATATCGTAGTTTTGAATGGAGCTTTTTATTAACTTCAACATCAGGAAATCACCAGAGTCCACCTACCTTTCCTTATTTTTCACAGAAATAGAAAGATTGATGTTCTCATAGAGCAAAAAAGATGAGGTCTCACTTCTTGTGGCCTTCTGACATCCATCAATATTTTAGGAAAACAATTCTCACATTTCAGGGCCAATTGGGAATTAAGTTGAGCTCAAATACAAAGGGAAATATTTTTTATTAAAACTTTTTTTGTGCGAAATGAATTATAAATTTTATAAATTTTTTTGTGAAATGAATCAGCTAGCCTAAAATTTAATCCTTCCAAACTACAGTAGGTTAAAAAAAACAAGTGAATGGTAAACAAGTTGAAATTTTCTTTCCAGTTTCTTATCACTGGCTAATTGGGAAGAATTGAAAAGTCAGAAGAGGAGAAAATTATAATCAATGCCTACTCCATTAAAAAATTGCTTAACTGTTTTATTGAAATTGATTCTATAGAGAGCCCCTGATTGCATATTTGATAAGGAACATTAATGCTAATACATGAAATACCCTATGTGCTCACGTATGAAAGAAACATTCTTGGCTGGGTGCGGTGGCTCATGCCTGTAATCCCAGAACTTTGGGAGGCCGAGGTGGGCGGATCACGAGGTCAGGAAATCGAGACCATCCTGGCTAACATGGTGAAACCTCATCTCCACTAAAAATACAAAAAATTAGCCGGATATAGTAGTGAGTGCCTGTAGTCCCAGCTACTTGGGAGGCTGAGGCAGGAGAATCGCTTGAACCCCGGAGGCGGAGCTTGTAGTGAGCCGAGATCACGCCACTGCACTCCAGCCTGGGTGAAAGAGCAAGACTCTGTCTCAAAAAAAAAAAAAAAAAAAAAAAAGAAAGAAACAAAGAAAGCATTCTCCCACATATTTTCGTTTATATAAAAAGATAAGTCTCACCCTAAATCTATGTTAAACTTATAGAAAGAACAGGTAGTCACAGTTAGAATGTGATTTTAGGGGCTAGGAAATCAACCCCAGACTTCAGCAAATCAATGTTCTACCACTGAAGTGTGCTAATATTTAGTATGAAACCGCTTACGGATTTCAGATCTTTTCCTGAAAGCAAACTTTAATATAGCAGAAGTCATCTGGATTTGGGCTGGAGATGGGGAGAATGAGAGGAGGCAAGTACTATAAGGGGTGGAGTGTAGGGGTAGGAGAGAGTAAAGAAAGGCATTAATTAAATGTCAGAAGTGAATTTATTCATTTTGTAGTTTTATCTAAACTGAAAACTGATCCTTGCTTGAATGGCTTGATAGAGAATGCGTCTCTCATGGGGCAAGGATAAAGCTATAATTATAAAACTTCAAGCTTAAAATAATGGGACTCAATGTTTGGGGCATCTTTTTAACTCCGCTAATCTAAGGATATGAGAAAATACTGTTCCTATTTAAGGAGCAAAAATTGGTAGATACGTGTTTGGGAGAATTTTTGATTTGCCAGCATTTGTGTTTCAGAACACTAAACAGCCTCATGGCAAGCCTGAATTTCTGAATATAATGAAGCAGAGACTGTTTTGTCTTGAGTAGATCCAGTTCGTGAAGGCTCAGGGGAACAGCACGCTTCATGCCTGCCAGCAGATGAGCTTCGAAGTGCCTTAAGGAAGCACTTTGACCAGAAGGTAGATAACTCTTATTATAGAAGAAGAAGGAGTGTGTAATTCATCTCCTACCGGTAAGAATAGTTATTGCTTTTGCAAACACTGTAAATGTGCAATCTAGAAGCTAGAAATAAGTACGCAGTTAGAAGGCAGTCTTTTTTTTCATATGTAGTGAAACTACTACACTTTCTGCAGTGGCAAATCTTAGCAGAGATTGTAAATCTAAGCAGAGAGGTATCCAGGATTGTGGTAGTCTACACTGAGTATGCCTACATGATGGTAGAGAAAAAAAAATGAAGATTACATGCAGGATAGCTCCCTAAGAATATCAGATAAGAACTTCTGCAGAACAACTTGTTATGCACCTTCTGGTCCAAATTTTCAAAGAAACTGCTGCCGGGTATAAGGATACAAAAAAAGAGAGAGAGAAAGGGAGAAAACAAACAAACAAAAATGACCCTGAAGTGATAACATATTTGGCTGCACTTGTTATTTAGGAAAGTCTGTGACTCAGAAATGAGATGGTCTGGAGGGAGACTTTAGAAACAATAGCAAGACACGAAAGTTCTCTCGAAACCTTGGATCCCATTTTTCATAATAAACAGAATTATGTCTTTTTTGATTAGCTTGTGAAAATTATCTGAGAATAATTTATGAGAAGTTCCCACTGCTATAATATACTGAGTTCAATAAATTATTCATATTTTATTTTCATTAATTAAAATAAACCCAAATCCTATTAAGAACTTTTTCAAAGACTGATAACCATGACTACAAAATGCTTTGTTGTCACATTTCTTTTCATGCCATAAATTAAATAGACTCTTCTTTGTCTCTAAAGGCTTTTTAAACATATTATGTTTCCCAGGAAAGGCTGCAGTTAAATGTTGGCATTTTGTCCTTATGTTCCTATAGTTTCCTGTTGTAGCAGTGTAGAATGAAGTTATGCCAGAATAATTTCCACATAAATATTGAATAAAGTGGACTTTTCATGGTTCAAAGAGTTTTGTGCCAATATGTTTCTTTTCTTAAGCGTTCAATGTAAATTTATGAAATTTTAATATTCTCTCATAAACACCTAAGTGTAGTTGCCATTAAATACAGATTCACATTCATGTTAGAACTGCTATTTTTTTGTTTCATATGATTTGTTCTTTATTTTTTTTTTTTGAGAAGGAGGCTTGCTTTGTCACCCAGGCTGGAGTGCAGTGGCGCCATCTGGGATCATTGCAAGCTCTGCCTCCCGGGTTCAGGCCATTCTCCTGCCTCAGCCTGCCGAGTAGCTGGGACTACGGGCGCCCGCCACCACGCCCGGCTAAGAGAGTGTGTGTGTGTGTGTGTGTGTGTGTGTGTGTGTGTGTGTGTAACTACAGGCGTCCGCCACCACGCCCGGCTGAGAGTGTGTGTGTGTGTGTGTGTGTGTGTGTGTGTATTTTTTTTTTGAGACGGAGTCTCGCTCTGTCATCCAGGCTGGAGTGCAGTGGTGCGATCTCAGCTCACTGCAAGCTCCGCCTCCCGGGTTCACGCCATTCTCCTGCCTCAGCGTCCAGAGTAGCTGGGACTACAAGCGCCCACCACCGCGCCCGGCCAATTTTTTTTTATTTTTAGTAGAGACGGGGTTTCACCGTAGCCAGGATGCTCTCGATCTCCTGACCTCGTGATCCGCCCACCTCGGCCTCCCAAAGTGTTGGGATTACAGGCGTGAGCCTCCACACCCCGCCGGCAAATAAATTTTAAAGCCCTACATTCTTGGGCAAATTTTACCCTTAAACAAAAATTCAGCCAATTGTACTAATCCAATAAAGAGCCATTTTAGGGAGCCTAAAGTTTTTTTATGAAAGCTCTAGTTGAATCACATATCAAAGTACTGGTCTATTAGGTTTCTTTTTTTCAGATATAAGTTAATTTTGATGTATTTTATTTGCTCTTTAAAAAATCACACTTTTGAGGCTGCGTGCGGTGGCTCATGCCTGTAATGCTGGCATTTTGGGAAGCCAAGGCAGGCGGATCACTTGAGGTTAGGAGTTCGAGACCAGACTGGCCAACATGGTGAAACCCCTTCTCCACAAAAAATACAAAAATTAGCCAGGCGTGGTGGTGCATGCCTGTAATCCCAGCTCCTTGGGAGGCTAGGGCATGAGAATCACTTGAACCCAGGAAGCAGGGGTTGCAGTGAGCCGAGATCGCACCACTGCACTCCAGCCTGGGCAGCAGAGTGAGACTTTCTCAAAAACAAACAAACAAAAAGTCACCATTTTGAATGCTTAGACACTACTGGTGGACATGTAAATTAGTTCAGCCAGTGTCAAAAGCAGTTTGGTGATTTCTCAAAGAACTCAAAACAGAATTACTATTCTACCCAGTAATGAGAATGGTAGACCTAGGCATGTGTATGTTCATTGCAGCACTATTCACAATAGCAAAGACATGGGATCAACCTAAATGCCCATCAATGGTAGACTGAATAAAGAAAATGTGGTGCATAGGCCCGGCGCGGTGGCTCACGCCTGTAATCCCAGCACTCTGGGAGGTGGAGGCCGGTGGATCACGAGGTCAGGAGATGGGGACCATCCTGGCTAACACGGTGAAACCCCGTCTCAATTTAAAATACAAAACATTAGCCGGGCGTGGTGGTGGGCGCCTGTAGTCCCAGCTACTCGGAAGGCTGAGGCAGGAGAAGGGCGTGAACCCCAGAGGCGGAGTTTGCAGTGAGCCGAGATCGCACCACTGCACTCCAGCCCGGGTGACAGAGCAAGACTCCCGCTCGAAAAAAAAAAAAAGAAAGAAAGAAAATGTGGTGCATGTACACCACAGAATATACTACACAACCATAAAAAAGAACGGGATCATGTCCTTTGCAGCAACATGGATGGAGCTGGAGGCCATTATACGAAGCAAACAAACACAGGAACAGGAAACCAAATGCCGCATGTTCTCACTTATGAGTGGGAGCAAAACACTGAGTACATATGGACACAAAGAAGGGAACAACAGGCACTGGGGCCTACTTGAGGGTAAAGGGAGGGAAGACGGTGACAACTGAGAAACTACCTATCTAGTACTGTGCTTATTACCTGGGTGGCAAAATAATGTGTACACCAAACCCCCATGATGTGTAATCTACCTAACAAATCAGCACATGTACCCCTGAACCTAAAATAAAACTTAAAAAATAATAGCAATAATCACCCTTTAAACCTATCTTTCAACATTTAAAGTTTGCAAAGGCAAAGTTTTATTCACCTATGGAACATGTTTTACTAACTGAGCAACTCTGGGCAAGTACTCTCTTGGCCTCTTAAGTGGGGATAATAACAGGGCATGCCTCCAAATCTTCCTGTGAACATTAAGTGAATGGATACGTACTGGACACTCAGAAAAATGCTTGGGTTGTAGTGATATTTAAGTGCCATTATAATGGCAGCATTGTACGAACAGAAATTAAAAACTTCAAAGTACATGTGAAAAAATATTTTTAAAAAATCTAATCATTGTATGATATAACTAGAAATTTTATTTAAGTACTTAAAGTAAGAATATTTCTACTTAAAATTCTAGATGCAGTGAAAAAAACATTAAAAAATGAAAATAAAGACATTTTTCAGACTTAGAAAACCTGAAATAATTCATCTCCAACATAGCCACTTTACAATAAATGTTAAAGAAAGTTTTTAGGCAGAAGAAAATTGAAAAACTGATACTAGATGGAAATATAAATGCATACAAAGGACTGTGGGACACTGGACATGGTAACTACATGAATAAAACTCTGGAATGTTTTTCTTATCATTTAAGTATTTTTAAAATATAATTGTTTAAGTAACAGTAATAACAATATAGCATGAGGTTTATAACACATGTAGAAGTCAAATTTATGGCAGTGATGGCACAATGCCTATGAGGAGAAAAATGGAAGTATGCTATTCAAAAATTTTATATGTGAAGTAATATACTATAACTTGAATATACACTGTGAAAAGTTAAAAATATATGCTACATACCCTAAACCAACCACTAAAATATGCCAACAAAGAGTAAAGGCTGATAAGCCAATCAAAGAGATAAGATGAAATTCTTAAAGAAATTCTCAATTATCCTTTAAAAAGGGCTAAAAAAGAGAAAAAGTAACAAAGCACAGAGGGAACAAATGAAAAACCATTTTAAGAAAATAAACTTAAATCTAACCATATTAATAATCACATTAGTATCAATTGCCCAAAAACTCTAATATTGACAGATTAGATTCAAAGAAAGCAAAAGCTAACAGTATTCTGCCTCCAAAAAAACATACTTTAAATGGAAAAACACAAGTAAAAAGACGAAAAAATATATAATAAACACTACCTCAAAGAAATCTGGAGTGACTATAGTAGTATCACACAAAGTAAATTTCAGTTGAATGGGTATTACTAGAGATAAAGTCATTTCAAAATAACGAAAGGGTCAGTTTGTCAAGAGAAATAAAAAACCTAAATGTTTATATAACAAATCATGTACATTCAATATACATGAAGCAAAATATAAAGATTATAAGAAAAATAAACATTTTTCTTTCCACAATTACAGTTAGATTTTTGTTTGTTTGTTTGTTTTGAGACTGAGTTTCACTCTTGTTCCCCAGGCTGGAGTGCAATGGTGCGATCTCGCCTCACTGCAACCTCCGCCTCCCAGGTTCAAGTGATTCTCTTGCCTCAGCCTCCTGAGTAGCTGAGATTACAGGCACCCACCACCACGCCCAGCTAATTTTTTGTATTTTTGGTAGAGATGGGGTTTCACTATGTTGGCCGGGCTGGTCTTGAACTCCCGACCTCAGGTGATCCACCTACCTCAGCCACCCAAAGTGCTGGGATTACAGGCATGAGCCACCACGCCTGGCCTAGTCAGACATTTTTATACCCCTATATCAAAAACTTCTACAACAAGAAGTCAAAAATTCAGTAAGAGTGTAAAAGATTTGACCAACATTACCACTTGACCTAATTGACATGTATAGAAAATTTCAAATACCAACTGTCAGATACACATTTTTTTTAAATGTACACAGAATATTTACCTAGAAAAAAACATATGCTGGGGCATAAAATTAATCTCAGTGATGTCAGAAAAATGGCAGACTAGAAAACTTTAGAACTTTGTCCCCCATGGAAACATTAAAGAAAAAACTACAAATTGGTTAAACTGACATTTAGGAACTATGGAAAACAGCTCAAGGTTTACAGAAAACACACGAACATCCAAACAAAACGGAGCCACATCCAAAGCAGTAGAAAATTGTGTGGCATTTTTACTTGGCTTTGCCACATCCCATCCCTGGAACTGCACAGAATGGTCTTAGGAAAGTGATAGCTGAGCTTCCAATTCCTTCCCTGGAACTGGAAGGGTAAACCAGACTTTATTTGAAATGTTCTAACCTGTCTGGAAGCTCCATGTTGGATTAGTCTCTGTTGTTTCTAACTCATAGGTCAGACAGCAAAGATCAGAACAGCTCATATCTCAGGCTATGAAAACCAATGAGAGACAACAGACATAGCTCGTGAATGCTGCTGTGAGATGCATGATAGACCTGCAAATGCCTGGAGCATGAGATTACAGATAGAGGAATAAAATAGAATATTCTTGACTCTGAGAAGAAGCAGGGCTATGACCCCTAGGGAAATTAAGACATTTTCTAAAAGGCTGTATACACAAGGAAAAAATAAATAAAAGCACACACAGGCCCAGAGAAAATGAAGTCTGATAAAAGACCACAGAAGATGAAAGCCTTCAGACCAGGCTGATCTAAAGTCAAAGAACATGCCCTTCTAATTATTGAAGAGCTTTTCCTACACAGACTCAGTCTGCAAACATTGGGAGAGGAAATGCCTTTTTTTCTAAATGCCCCATTTTCCACAATAACAATAACAATAACAATAACAAATTACAAGGTGTTCAAAGAGACAAGAAAGCCATGGCCCAATCAAAGAAGAAAATACAGCTGCAGAAACTGTCCCTGAAGAAACATTGACATTTGAAATACTACACAAAGACTTTTAAACAACTATCTTATGCTCAAGGAGCTAAAGAAAAACATAGACAAATAACTAAAAAGCGAAGAAAATAATATATGAACAAAAGGAGAATATCAACAAAGAGACAGAAATTATTTTAAAAGAACCAACAAGAAATTCTGGAGATGAAAAATATGGTAAGTGAATTGAAAAATTTATGAGACAGCTTTAACAGAAGACTTTAGCAGGCAGTGGAAAGAAGCAGCAAACAAAAAGAAAGATTATTTAAAAGTAGTGAGTCTAAGGGCCAAAAAGGAAAAAAAAAAAAAAAGTGAATAGAGTCTAAGGTATTTAAGAGTCACCATTGAGTAGTCCAATTATTCATTACAGAAGTTCCAGAAACAGAAGAGAGAAAGAAGGAGGCAGTGATTTATATGACAACATAAGTGTCAGAGGCGTTCAAACCAGAGCGACTCCATTTTGAGTGAGGGCTAGGAAAATGAGGCAGAGACTTGCTGGACTGCATTCTCAGAATATTAGGCATTTTCCTAGCTTCTAGATGTTTATGAATCAGTGAACAAATTAATGATGCTTACTAAAACAGACCCAGACTTGGGAGTGTCCAGGTATCTCAGTATCTGGAGAATAAGGGCATTCCTAATTTTTCATTAAAGATAATAATATTGATTCTTGCAAAATATGGTAATTAAGAAAATTAATCCTTTATCAAAAACTCTTGTAGGAGAGCACATCTCCCCATATATGCAACCATCGTACCTAGGATGGATGTGTTCTTCCTCTCACTTTCAGGAATGTCCTACTCTGTCTATGGAGTAGCTGTTCTTTCACCACTTGCTTTTACTTTGCACTGTGGACTCGCCCTGAATTCTTTATCGTGTAAGCTCTAAGAACCCTCTCTTGGGGTCTGTATCGGGACTCCTTTCTGGTAACATAAGGATCAAAAATTTCCCAAATTTTTAAGACATGTATATGCAAATCCAAGAATCTCAATGAACTCCAAGTATGATAAAACAAAAGGAGTGTAGGCAGAGGAACAAAATTGTCAACTGAAAATTTTATAATTAGCAAAACTGTCCTTCAAACATGAGAGGAAAACCTTCTGGTTCTAAACCAGTATGTAAGGAGCTTGATAGTCATACTTTATCCTAACAACTAGTAAAAAGTTGAACAAACAAAAAACTCAACACCTCTTCTCAGATCTGTCATGGAAATGAGATCAGAGAGCAAACCAAGGACCCCCAAATTGGAGAGACAGACAGGCAGATACATAGAAGCAAAACTTAACTCATGCAGAAATGATGAGCAGAAATCTCCATAAGACCCAGTGCTGGGTTGGGCATAGTGGCTCACGCCTGTAATCCCAGCACTTTGGGAGGCCGAAGTGGGCAGATCACCTGAGGTCAGGAGTTCAAGACCAGCCTGGCCAACACGGTGAAACCGCATCTCTACTAAAAATACCAAAATTAGCTGGGCATGTTGGCGGGAACCTGTAATCCCAGCTATTCAAGAGGCTGAGGCAGGAGAATTGCTTAAAGCCGGGAGGTGGAGATTGCAGTGAGGCAAGATCATGTCATTGTACTCCAGCTTGTGCAACAGAGCAAAACTCCACCAAAGAAAAAACAAAAAACAAAAAAACACACACAAAAAAATCACCAGTGCTGAAGTAGAAAAACCTGAAACTGTAATTAACAAATTGCTGGAGCTCAATGTGAACAACTCTGAAAGTTAAAAACTTCAAGTGGGTACACTCATTGAAGGTCTCCATACTTTTGTGAATTATGCCTCCAGAAACTCTACTAGGTTCTCAGTGAATGTTGGAAAAAATGTCCTCATGCTTCTGGCAGGAGGAAGGGGAAAGGAACCATTTGGAAACATGCTGGAGTATTCAGTTCTTTTTCACAAGACCTGCACCAGGAGAAACTATTTTACTAGGGCCTAATCTGCTGGGGTTTTATCAGAGCCTACTATATGTGACAGAAGGAAAATACTCAACTGGCTGTAGCCTTCCACATGCACAAAAGGGAATAAATAACTCCATCTCCTTCTGGCCTTTCATGTGGGGGAAGAGAAACACTCAACTACAATCCCTTTTAGATTTCCACATGGAAAAAGGGAAATATACAACTTCGTCCTCCCTTCAGCCATTATGTCTCATCTAAAGTCGGGGAGGAACTGAGAAGCACTGATGAAGTTCACAGTCAAGGGGCACAGTCTCACCAAAAGACTGAGCCCTAATCATAGGACTATAGAATGCTCCCCTTCCCCTTACACTCTATCACTACATTACTAAAGGCCTATTTACTATAGCTGCTTTTACTTAGTACATTGTGTTCACTTTTCAACAAAAAAAATTCCAAGATAGACTGAAATGCAAAGAAAAAAACAGTTTGAAAAGTATGAACAAGCATCATAAGCAGAGTCAAGTATGGCAGGAATGTTGGAATTATCAAAGCAGATATTTTAAATAATTGTGATTAATGTGCTAAGGACTCTAGTAAACAGACAACATGCAAGAACAGATGAATTATGTAAACAGAGAGATGGGGATACAAAGAAAAAAATCAAAAAAGAATTGCTGGAGATCAAAGACATTGTAATAGACATAAAGAAGGGCTTTGATGGGCTCATTAATAGACTGGACATAGCCAAAAAAGAATCTTTGAGTTTGATGATATGATAATAGAAATTTCCAAAACTAAAGAGCAAGGAAAAAAATTACTCAGTAAAAACAGAATAGAATATCAAAGAACTGTAACAAAACTACAAAAGGAGTTAATACATATATTGGGAATTTTAAAAGGACAGGAAAGAGAGAAAAAAATGGAAGCAATATTTGAAACAATAATGACTGAAAATTCCTTCCAAACTAGTGTCAGACACCAAACCAGAGATCAAGAAAGCTCAGAGTACACCAAACAGGATACATGAAAAGAAAAATTACACCTAGGCATTTCATATTCAACTTCAGAAAATCAAAAATAAGAAAAAAAAAGTCTTGAAAGAAGCCAGAGAGGAAAAATACCTTACATATAAAGGAGCAAAAATAAGAATTACTTCTTAAATTTTCTTAGAAACCATGCAAGCAAGAAGAGTGAGGTTGAGAGAAAAACCACCAGCCTAGATTTCTGCACCCTGTAAAATTATCCTTCAAAAGTAATAAGAACTAAAGTTCTTCTCAGACAAACAAAACCTGAAGGCATTGTTACTGGTAGACCTACCTTGCAAGAAATGTTAACGGAAGTTCAGAAAGAAAATGATGTAGGTCAGACACTCCAATCTACATAAATAAAAGAAGAGAGTCAATGAATTAATAAGTAAAAGTAAAGTAAAACATTCTTTTTTTGTTCTTAATTGATCAAAGACATAATAGTTTGTTCAAAATAATAACAGCAACAATATATGGTTATGTATGCATATATATATGCTTTTGTATACTTTTGTAGACATGAAGTGAGAGATAGCAATGATAAAAGGGAAAGGAAGGAAGAATTAGGAATATTGTGTTATTAATATATCTTCTACCTGTGAAGTGGTATAGTGTCATTTGAAAGTGTACTTGGATTAGTTGTAAAAATATACTGCGAACTCTAGGACTAATGTTTTAAAACTTTAAAAAAGTATAATTGATATGCTAAGGGAGGAGAGAAAATGAAATTATATAAAGTGCTCAATTAAAACACAAAAAGTAGAAAACTATGCGCGACAAAAATAACTAAGAGCAAGGACGGCAAAGAAAAATCATTAACACAGATGGTACATATTAATTGCTATATCAATAATCATCTTAACTGTCAATGGTCTAAAACACACCAATTAAAATACAGAGACTGTCATAGTAAATCAAAAAACAAGACCCAGCTGTCTACAAGAAGCTCATTTTAAATTTGAAGACTCATAGAGATAAAAATTAAGGGGATGGAAAAGATACTGAGGTAAATTATAAAGGGTGGTCATAGCCTCCCTTAAAGGAGAACAAACTTGCTAAATAGATGGAGAGAATAAACTACCCGACAGTGCACAAACCACATCATGGGCTCAGGATTAGAACATCCTGCAGCAAGGAGGTAGAAAAATAGAAGGGAGAATTCCCAAATTCACACAAGCACAGAAACCCATGATTAGTGTCCTTGGACTGACCTATATTCACTATAATAGTAAAAGAAAAACACCCCTGGGTGGAGATTTAAGATGCTAATGATACATGCAATGTTAAGTCCTAGCATGTACAACCACAGCACCTGTGCAGCCAGGGGACTACCCATAACATACTCATCAGAACACCCCTTCCCACCCCTCCATGAATAATCATGTAAATCTCCCATAAAGGGCGATCCCCCTGCATCAGACAGGGCTGTCTCACCTTTGAGCAGCCTGCTCTGATCAGCTGTCAGAGTGTACTTTTGCTTTGCAATAAACTCTTTTGCTTACTGTTACTTTGGACTCGTTCTCAAAGTTTTTTGTGCAGCAAAGTCAAGAACCTGAAACAGCCCACTGGCAACAATAGCATGCTAACAGTAATCCAAAGAAAGCAGGAGTAGCTCTATTAATGACACATCCCACTTCAGAACAAGAAGAATTATCAGAAATAAAGAGAGTAATTACATAATAAAAATGCGGTCAGTTCTCCAAGAAGACATAACAATCCTTAGTGTTTACACACCTAAAAACAGAGCATCACTATATGTTAGGCAAAA
Organism: Homo sapiens; assembly: GCF_000001405.40. NCBI lineage: Eukaryota > Metazoa > Chordata > Mammalia > Primates > Hominidae > Homo > Homo sapiens. The sequence continues at coordinate 39,304,816 of NC_000009.12, forward strand.
ACTAATAGAACTTCAAGGAAAAATAGATGAATTTACTACTGTACTTTGAGACTTTAACATCTCTCTACTAGTAATTAGCAGATTAAGCAGGCAAAAAATTAGGGAAGACATATTATAATTCAAGTCAGCAGTGACATTAATCCAATTGACATGTGTAGAATAATTCACCCAACAGCAGAATACACATGCTTCTGAAGCTCCCATGGAATGTTCACAAAGACACATCACTATCTAGGCCATTAAAAAGCAACTTATTTAAAAGCATGTAAGTCATGCAAATTATGCTCTATGACTACAGTGAAATTAAGCTAGAAATCAAATTCAGCAAGATGACTGGAAAACATTAAAATACATGAAGGCGTAACATCACACTTCTAAATAAAAAATGGATCAAGGAAGTCTCAAGAGGAATTGTAAAATATTTTGAACTAAATGAAAATGAAAATACAACTTTAAATTTGAAGACCCATAGAGATAAAAATTAAGGGGATGGAAAAGCTACTGCGGTAAGTTATAGAGGGTGGTTATAGCTTTTCATTTTCGCTTACATCTCACGGAAGTGTGTGAAATGCAGTAAAACAATGCTTAGACCAAAATTATAGCATTGAATGTACATGTTGCATCCCAAGGAGGGTCTAAAATTAATAATCTAACTTTTCACCTTAGGAAGCTAGTAAAGGAAGAACAAATTAGACTCGAAATAAGGAGAAGAAAAATATAAAAATCAATAAAATTGAAGACAGAAAAATCAATAGAAAAAAATCAACAAATAAAAATCTGATTCTTTGAAAAGATAAATAAAATTGGTAAATCTCTATCCAGAGTAAGAGAGAAAAAGAATACAAATTATTGATATCAACATTTAAAGAAGAACCACCTCTATAGATACTATGGACATTAAAACATTTAAAAAAATAAAGAAATATTATTAACAACTTCATAAGTTTGATAAACGACATAAAATGCAGCACTTTTTTGAAATATACAATCTACTAAAATTCACACCAGGAGAAAAAGACAATCTGAGTTGTCCTATATCTATCAAAGGAACTGAATCAATAATTAATAAGCTGATAAAATAGAAAGTACCAAGCCCCAGAGAGTTCTCTGGTAAATTCTAACACTTAAAAGAAAAATTATAACAATTCTCCAGAATCTTTTCCAAAAAATAGAAGCATACAGAATGCTTCCCTAGTTATTCTATGAGGTCATTATTACCATACACCAAAACCAAAGACATTACAAGAAAGAAAAAACAAAGAGCACTATCTTTCATTAAGCAAAAATCCTGAACAAAGTATTAGCAAATTGGATCCAATAATGTGTAAAAAGATGATGAAGTGGACCTTATCCTAATTATGAAAGGCTAGTTCAACAATTGAAAATAAACTGATATATTTCATCACATTAACAAGAAAAAGAAAAAAAACAAGATCACATCACCAGATGCAGAAAAACATTTGACAAAATCCAACATCCATTAACGATAACTCTCGGCAAATTAGGAATAGAGGGAAACTTCCTCAAAGTGACAATGTCTATAGGAAACCTACAGCTAACATCATATTCCCTGGTAAGAAGTTAGATGCTTTCCTGGTAAGATGAAAAACAAGGCAAGAATGCCTGCTCGGCCGGGCGCGGTGGCTCCCGCCTGTAATCCCAGCACTTTGGGAGGCCGAGGCGGGCGGATCACGAGGTCAGGAGATCGAGACCATCCCGGCTAAAACGGTGAAACCCCGTCTCTACTAAAAATACAAAAAATTAGCCGGGCGTAGTGTCGGGCGCCTGTAGTCCCAGCTACTTGGGAGGCTGAGGCAGGAGAATGGCGTGAATCCGGGAGGCGGAGCTTGCAGTGAGCCGAGATCCCGCCACTGCACTCCAGCCTGGGCGACAGAGCGAGACTCCGTCTCAAAAAAAAAAAAAAAAAAAAAAAAAGAATGCCTGCTCTCACCTTACTCAACATCATACTGAGGGTCCTAGCTAATGCAATAAAACATGAAACACACATAAAAGTTAAACAGATTTGGAAGAAAGAAATAAGACTCTGCTCACAGATGGCATGACTGTTTATGTAAAAAATCCCCCCAAAATCAACCAAAACATTTGTGGAACTAACATGTGGTTATAGTAAGGTTGTAGAATATAATGTTAATGTACAAAAGTCAATTGATTTCTGATATACCAGCAATGGGCAACTGGAATTTGAAATTAAAAGCATAATACCATTTACTTTAGCATTGAAAAGAGAAATGTTTAGGCATAAGTTGAATAAAATACGTACCAGGTTTATATAAGAAAACTACAAACTCTGGTGAAAGAAATCAAAGATCTAAATAAATGGAGTATAAATAGAATAAAATATGTACAAAGTTTATGTGAGAAAAAACTACAAACTGATGAAAGAAATCAAAGAAGATCTAAATAAATGGAGAGATATTCTATGTACATGGATAAGAAGACTCAATATTGTCATAATGTCATTTCTTCAAAACTTGATCTGTAGATTTAATGGAACCCCAATCAAAATTCCAGCAAATTATTAAGTGGATATCCACAAACTGGTTCAAAAGTTTATATGAAATGACAAAAGATCCAGAACAGCCAACATAATATTGAAGGAGAAGAACGAAGTTCGAGGTCTAACGAACTAATTTCTGTATGATTCCAACTACATGGCATTCTGGAAAATGAAAAATTACAGACACAGTAAATAGCTCAGTGATTGCCAGGAGTTTGAGGGAAAGGGGACTAGGGGTAAATTGAACACAAGAGATTTTCAGAATAGTAACACTGTTATGTATGACACAGTAATTTTGGATACATGCCATTATATATTTGTCCAAACCCATGGAACGTCAATCACAAAGAGTGAAGCTTAATATAAACTATGGGCTTTAGTAACTAATGGTGTATCAATACTGGGTCATGGATTCTAACAAATGTGCCACACTCATGTAAGATGCTAAAAATAGGAGAAACTGCAGGGAGGTATACGGGAACTGTTTTTTTCTTTCATCTTTTTTTCTGTAAACCTAAAACTTAGTAAAAAATGAAGCATCTTATTTTTTAAAATTATCTAAATACATTAATAAAAAGTGAGAGATTAGCAAAGTAGATTTCAAAATATCCTAATCATAAGCTGTTTATAAGAAACCTACTTTACATTTAATAAAATAGGTAAATTGAAATTAAATGCATGAAAATGACATAATATGCAAATATTAACAAAATAATGCAGGAATTGCTATATTAATATCTGATGGAGAGACTTCAGAGTAAGGAAAATTACTAAAGACAAAGAAAGATATTACATATTTTTAAAAGCCAAGCTACTATGAAGACACAATGATCCTAAATGTATATAAACCAACAGAATTTTAAAATACATGGAGCAAAAGCAGAGAATACTGAAAGAAGAAATAGACAAATCTACAATTATAGTTGGGGATTCCAAACTTCTCACTAGCTGACAGAATTACTAGTCAGAAAATTAGCATAGATATAGAAAAATATGAACTACACAGTTCACCAACAGGATCCAATTGATATTCATATATAGATTTATCACATAAAGGAAACTCCAATAAGATTAAAAACTAATTGCTCATCATAAGTAATAGAAGGCAGAAGAAAGTGGAATGACATATTAAAAGTGATTAAAGAAAATAAGAGACCAAGAATCTTATATCTAGCAAAACTATATGCTAAGACTAAAGATTAAATAGACATTTTCTGGCTGGGCGTGATGGCTCACTCCTGTAATCCCAGCACTTTGGGAGGCAGAGGTGGGTGGATCACAAGGTCAGGAGATCGAGACCATCCTAGCTAACATGGTGAAACCCCGTCTCTACTAAAAATAGAAAAAATTAGCCAGGCGTGGTGGTGGGCGCCTGTAGTCCCAGCTACTCGGGAGGCTGAGGCAGGAGAATGGCGTGAACCTGGGAGTCGGAGCTTGAAGTGAGCCAAGATTGCACCACTGCACTCCAGCCTGGGCAACAGAGCAAGACTCTGTCTCGAAAAAAAAAAAAAAAAATAGACATTTTCATATAAACAAAAATTGAGAAAATGTGTTGCTGGAAGATTTATCTTGATATTTATTAACACTAACAAAAGATTTCCAAGCTGATTCCTGATACGTGTTCAACCCCATATGAGAAAACAAAGAGGCTGGTAAATTGAATTATGTAGATAATTGTTAGAGTATAATTGGATATTTTGTCTTCTTTCCTTAAATGATTTAAAATGCAATTGCATAAAATGATATGTATATACACAGATTGTTGGATTCGTAACCTATGGAAATGTAATATATTTGACAATAATGGCACAAAGGATATGAGCAGAAGCAAATCTATATTGGACCAACCAAGAGGTTGACACCAGATGGTTTTTCAGGTGTACAAAAATAAAGAGAACCAGAAATGGCAGATAAGAAGATTAATATCACAAACTTTACAAATGTATACTTGCCCTCCTTTCTTCCTCAGCTTCTTTAAAAGATGCAAAAGTAAAAAGAACAAAGCTGGAGACATCATGCTACCTGACTTCAAAGTATACTATAAGGCTACAGTGACCAAAACAGCATGGTACTGGTACCAAAACAGAGATATAGACCAATGGAACAGAACAGAGGCCTCAGAAATAACACCACACATTTACAACCATCTGATCTTTGAGAAACTTGACAAAAACAAGCAATGCGGAAAGAATTGCCTATTTAATAAATGGTATTGGGAAAACTGGCTGGCCATACGCAGAAAACTGAAACTGGACCCCTTCCTTACACCTTATACAAAATTTAACTCACGATGGATTAAAGACTTAAACATAAGACCTAAAACCATAAAAACCCTAGAAGAAAATCTAGGCAATACCATCCAGGACATAGGCATGGGCAAGGACTTTATGACTAAAACACCAAAAGCAATGGCAACAAAAGCCAAAATAGACGAATGGGATCTGGTTAAACTAAAGAGCTTCTGCACAGCTAAAGAAACTATCATCAGAGTGAACAGGCAACCTACGGAATGGGAGAAAATTTTTACAATCTGTCCATCTGACAAAAGGCGAATATCTAGAATCTACAAAGAACTTAAACAAATTTACAAGAGACAAACAACCCCATCAAAATGTGGGCAAAGGATATGAACAGACACTTCTCAAAAGAGGACATTTATGCAGCCAACAAACATATGAAGAAAAGCTCATCATCGCTGGTCATTAGAGAAAGGCAAATCAAAACCACAATGAGATACTATCTCAGACCAGTTATGTGATGCTTTTTTGTTTGTTTGTTTGTTTTTGTTTGTTTTTGTTTTTGTTTTTTTTGTTTTTTTGAGACGGAGTCTCGCTGTCGCCCAGGCTGGAGTGCAGTGGCGCGATCTCGGCTCACTGCACACTCCGCCCCCCGGGGTTCACGCCATTCTCCTGCCTCAGCCTCCCGAGTAGCTGGGACTACAGGCGCCCGCCACCTCGCCCGGCTAATTTTTTTGTATTTTTAGTAGAGACGGGGTTTCACCGTGTTAGCCAGGATGGTCTTGATCTCCTGACCTTATGATCCGCCCGCCTCGGCCTCCCAAAGTGCTGGGATTACAGGCGTGAGCCACAGCGCCCGGCCATGTGATGCTTTTATAAAGCATGCTTTCTTGCGTGCCGCTATGATTGTAAGATGTGACTTTGCTCCTCCTTGCCTTACACCGTGATTGTGAGGCCTCCCTAGCCAGGTCAAACCTCTTTCGTTTATAAATTACCCAGTCGCAAGTATGTCTTTATTAGCACTGTGAGAACAGACTGATACATCAGAGATAAAGAAGGACATGCTGTAATGTTAAAGAGACAATATATCAAGAAGGTATAAAAATTATAAACCTATGTGCACTGAACGAAATTTTTCCAAAATCTACAAAGCAAAAATTAAAGGTAGAATTAAAGGTGAATTAAAGGTAGAATTCAACAATAATAGTTGGAGATGGTAATCATAGCAGACATCAGTATCTCACTTTCGATAATCAGAAAAGCTAAATAGATGCTAGCAAGAATATGGAGGATTTGAGTAACAGTATAAACTAGCTAGATGACAGTACAGTACACCCAAAAGCGGAACATTACTCTCAAGTGCACATGGAACAGTTCCTAAAATAGATCACATGCTAGGCCAAAAACCAAACCTCAAAAAAAGTAGAAAATGATTGTTCTTTGATCAAAGTGGAATTAAATTAGAAATTAAAAACAGAAAGAACTTTGGGAAAAGCAGAACTTATAAAAATTAGCTACATACTTCTAAATAACCAATGAGTCAGAGATGAGATCATGATGAAAAATAAGCAGAAGAAAGGATATAATAAACATTGAAATAGAAATTAAAGAAATAGAAAAAATGGTAGAGCAAATCAACAAAACCAAGAGTTGGGTCTTTAAAAAGATTAACAAAATTAACAAACTTTAGCTACACTTACAGGGAGAAAGAAAGATTCAACTTACTAAAATTAAGAATGAAAGAGGGACATTACTATTGACCTTATAGAAATAAAAAGAACTATTAAAGGTACTATGAAAAAAGAATGTCAACATATTAGATAATGTTGACGAAATATCATTTCTAGAATAATATCTACCAATCATTTAAAGAATTAGTGCCATTCTTCACAAGCTCTTAAAAAAATTTTAATATTTATTACAGTATTACTTATAATAGCCAAAAAGTAAAAACAACCCCAATGTTAATTAACTGATGAATGGATAAATACAATATGGTGTATCATATATCATATATATGATATCATGTTATTGACCAACAAAAGGAATGAAGTACTAACACATGCTGCAACCTGGGTGAAAATATTATATTCTTGTAAATATCATGCTGCATAAAAGAAACCAGAACCAAAGAGTGCATTTTGTATTATTCCGTTTATATAAAATCTCCCAAACAGGCAAGTTTAGACAGTGGTTGCCTAATGATGTAAGGTGGAGGAGGAATGGGAAGTGACTGCTAATGGGTACTGGGACTCTTTGAGGGTACCAAAAATGTTATAAAATGAAACTTTGGTGATGATTGAACAACTGAATGAATATATTAATATGTATGAAACATTTTAAGTGAGTAAATTACACAAAATTTAAATTATGGCTAAACAAAGCTGTTTTTAAAAAGTGTACCAGCAGCAGAAAATTAGTTATAAATTAATCAGGATTAAACAGTGCTCATCTTGATTAAGCTTATAATGGATGATGATTATTTTACTTGTTTTATTCTGTAGTAAACAGTTTGAGATTCAGTGATTAAACAAAGGACTACCTTTACACTCTACTTATTTTTTAAGTAAAAGAAAAACATTATTAAAAAGTGTATAAACTGGTTCATGTTTATGTTAACTATCTTACCCTTCCTTCTCTTTTACTTCCAATTACTTTGGTTATGTTTCGGGTTTTATTTGATATTGTCTATGGAACCTGTTAATCATTCTTTAAAGGAAAGAGGAGGTAGGTAGGGAATAAAGTATGGAGCCATCCAAAAACGAAAAGATCTGGGAAGATGCTGTGCTGATTTAATGTTAAGAAATGTTCAGAAAGTAAACCCTTGATGTCTTGGTTTTTATTTTAGAAATATTATCTTGTTGACAATATACTAAAGTGCATACAACTGATTTAAAATAAAAATAAGGTATATGAAAATATGTAAGATGCAGCTGAAGCAGAGGTGAGAGGAAAATTTTTATTACTAAATGTTTATATTAGAAGTGATAAAGTCCTCAACCAACTAAATTCCTACCTCAAACAACAAACAAAAACAAGAAATAAAAAGAGCAAAATAAGACCAAATCAAGAAGCAGCATATTCTGGTATAACTTTCAAATTATCCTTTAAAAATAGTCATAAGTTCAGAATCTGGTGTACAAATTCTATATTATGTCTCCTTACCTTTGAAATGCATTTTTTTTTTTTTTTGAGAGACAATCTCGCTCTGTCGCCAGGCTGGAGTGCGATGGCACCATCTCGGCTCACGGCAACTTCCGCCTCCCGGGTTCAAGCAATTCTCCTGCCTCAGCCTCCGGAGTAGCTGGGACTACTGGAACGCGCCACCACATCCAGCTAATTCTTGTATTTTTAGTAGAGACGGGGTTTCATCATGTTGGCCAGGATGGTCTCCATCTCCTGACCTCTTGATCCGCTCGCCTTGGCCTCCCAAAGTGCTGGGATTAAAGGCGTGAGCCACCGCGCCTGGCCTAAAATGCGTTTCTTTTCCTTGATATAAATGTATTATCTGTACTACTATGAATACTGAAATGCCATAATTGAGGCTTTTTTTTTAACTTTGCAAATGGAATAAAGGAGAGAAGGAAGGATGAGAGTCTCCTGAGATATTTAGATAAATGTTAGAGAAAAGAAAAGATTCAAGTTGATATTCTGATAAACCTGATAAATCACATGGACAAATCTGACATTTATGCGAGTAAACGAAATGGAAAACAATATAACTGGGTGTAAATAAAGAAGGAGATAAAAAAATACGAAGTTAAATAGTCCCTCATATTGGTCACAAGGCCAAATCAGCTGGCTCAGAATGTCATTTACTGCAGAAGGCCTCACTGAATTTCCTCCTTTAAGGAATGACTTTGTTCCTAGGAAATCTACACTAGTGTATAGAAATAAAGGGGCATACTGTCTGCATCTTGCTCTTAGATAATTCAGAAAAATGTGTGTGTATATCTATATCAATACCTATCTAGAATAAACAAGTGTGATGAAATGTTAACAATTGATAAACCTGGGTAAAGGGTAGGTATATGGGAGTTCTTTGCATATTTTTTCAACTTTTATGCACATGCGAAATTATCTGCAAGTGAAAATGTTTGTAAAAATTAAAAAACATACCATTTCAAAACAGGCTGTATTTATATAAGAAGTGCCCAATGTTTTTGCTTAATTTCTTTGTGGTAAGATTTTAGTCTTCCAGGAAAAGTTTCATATTGGTTATTATTGTGAAAAATAATGAAGTGGTCTGCTTCTAATTTTTCTGAGTTCCCTTTTGAATAACTAAGCATCTACACCAAATTAAAGATACTTCTCTATAATTTTTCAAAATTCAAAAAGGATGTCTCATAAAGTAAGAAAATAAACTGTGGTTTGTTCCTCCATTGTTGTTAATTTGCAATGTCCCACTTATCTCTGATGGGATATCAGTAAATTTACTTGCCTTATTGTACTTGTTCCTTGATGTATTTCTAATGATTAATTAGAAATAATTACACATTTGTCCACTTTGGAAAGTAATGGACGTGAAGGGGGTGTGTGTGTGCACTTGTATGGACTCACACATGCATAGGTACACACACACGTATTGTGTTTTCTTGTTTTGTTTTGTGCTTTGATTTTTATTTTTAAATTGTAAATTGACAAATCGTAGTTGTGTATATTTATGGAGTACAAAATGGTGATATAATTTATGAATACAATTTGGAATAATTATATCAAGCTAATTAACATCCACCACCTCAAATACTTGTCATTTTTAATGGGGAATGCATTTGAAATTTACTCTCTTAGTGATTTTTAAAATGTAGAATTCTTTACTATGTACTATTTTCACCAAGTTTTGCAATATATCTCAAAGAAAAAAAACCCTTATTATTCCTTTTGTATAAATGAGGCTTTGTACCTTTTGTCCAATATCTATCCGTTCCACCCCGCACCTCCAGCCTCTGCTAATGACCATTCTGCTCTCTGCTTCTTTCAGTTTGATTGTTTTAGATTCCACATATAATTGAGAACATGAAGTTTTTGTCTTTTTTGGCTTCGCTTATTTCTTTTAGCATAACATTTTCCAATGTTGTTGCCAATGAAAAAATGATTTTTGTAAAGGCATGTAATTGTAACAGTCTCTTATGATCCTTTGTATTTTTGTGGTATCAGTTATAATGTCTCCTTTTTCATTTCTAATTTTATTTATTTGAGTCTTCTCTCCTTTTTTCTTAGTCTAGCTAAAAGATTATTGGTTTTATATTTTTAAGAAACTTAGTTTTGTTCATCTTTTGTGTCATTTTCTAGTTTTCATTTCACTTATTTTTGCTCTGATCTTTATTATTTTATTTCCTTCTGCTAACATTGGAAGAATTTGATATCCTTTTTCTATTTCCTTGAGGCATAATACTAAGTTGTTTATTTGAGATCTTTCTTCTTTTTGCTCTTGATGTTTATTGCTATAAACTTTCCTCTTAGAAATGCTTTTGCTGGATCTCATAAGTTTCGGTATGTTGTGTTTCCATTTTTGTTTTTCTCAAGATATTTTTACATTTCTTGTTTAATTTTTTCATTGACCTATTGGTTGTTCAAGAGCATGTTGCTTAATTCTTTTAATTTCCATTTCTTCATTGACCTATTGGTGGTTCACCACCATGTTGCTTAGTTTCCACGTATTCGTACATTTTCTGGAATTCCTTCTATTGTTGGTTTCTAGTGTCATATCATTGTTGTCTGAAAAGGTACTTGATATGATTCTAATATTAAATTTGCAAAGATTCGTCTTGTGGTCTAACCTGTTGTCTATCCTGCAGAATGTTCTATGTGTCCCTGAGAAGAATGTGTATTCTGCTGCTGTTGGGTGAAGTTTCTGTATGTGTCTATTAGGTCCATTTGGCGTAAAGCGTCCTTCAAGGTTAATGCTATTTTCTATCTTTTTTTTTTTTTTTTTTGAGACAGAATCTCGCTCTGTCACCCAGGCTGGAGTGCAGTGGCGCGATCTCGGCTCACTGCAAGCTCCGCCTCCCGGGTTCACGCCATTCTCCTGCCTCAGCCTCCCCAGCAGCTGGGACTACAGTCGCCCGCCACCACACCTGGCTAATTTTTTTGTATTTTTAGTAAAGACAGGGTTTCACCGTGTTAGCCAGGATGGTCTCAATCTCCTGACCTTGTGATCCACCTGCCTCGGCCTCCCAAAGTGCTGGGATTACAGGTGTGAGCCACTGCCCTGGTCTGTTTAGAAGTATTTTTAAAGAATTATTGCACTTCTGTTCGGATAGAAAAACAAAAATACATTTTAAGAATATATATTTATATGTATGAAAATATAAAATTTTGAAAAGTTGAATATTTCAAGCCAATTATGTAGATGTCCTTGTCCTTCCCTGAGCTGCTGACTCACGTTCCATGAAGCGGGATGGGTCTCACGGGCCTGTCAGGATGCAGGCTGTGATGTGAAGGCCGCTCGACGCTCACAGGATTGGACGGGTTTGTGAAGGAATTTGCAGCGAGGCTTAGCTCCTTAACATTTCCTTTGAGCAACATCAGTGCTTTTGACGTTTTGCACTACTGTATAAAACTGTAAGTGTATGCAGAGATGTATGTTTCTGAATAAATCACAAAATTGACAAGCAACTGCCATGCATTGTTTTTTGTATCATAGCTTACTGATAAAGTACAGACTGCAACATTTACTTATTCAAATACCTTTAAAGATCTGGTATTTTTTTGCTTCTACTTCCCAGGAATTTGACCTCAGGGACATTTTCTATTATTTCCATATCTATTGAAATGAACTCAAATCAAAAATGAGGATGTTTCATTATACATTTAAAATGTGAGTTTTCCCATTTAAAGTCACACAAACTGAGGTTACTATGAAAAAGATTTAAAATTGTGCAGAATGAATCACTGAAAAATTAGTTTATTCTAAAGATCATATATTCAGAGTAAATATATTTAAATTTTATTACTTTCAGAGTAAATATATTTAAATTTTATTCAATTTACTCTTTGTCAGCAAATTAGTGAATAACATTACTGATATCTTAGATGTTTGTGGACAGAAAGAGAATAGAGGTAAACATCATGACCCTCAAAGAGCTCAAAATCCTAAGATTTTTATGGGCAGCCCCAGAGGTATAAAATTCAAAAGGACATTACTTCTCCATTCCTGATTAGGTATGCAATGTTCTGGGATTATGCATGGCTCTCGGATCCTTGAGAGTAATAATGACAGTGATCTCTGAATTAACATAGTTCAACTTTTATAATAATTATGGCCCTCAACCATGTGAAGTTTGTGGAGCACTGAGATTTCTTGGGGCGATTTTGTAATAGCTAATTCTTAACAGCAATGTTATTTCAGGCTTTTTGGCCATTCCCTGTTACAACTGCTGATCTTTTATTCCTATAATGGTACAGAATTCTTTGAGAAAAATAAATTCATCTTTTCATTCATTTAAGGAAAAATTGTCAGCACGAGCCTATGGCTATAATGTTCTCCATCATTTAAAGAATAAAAGGAATAATCTGGTTGAAATTGAATTATCTAAGCTTATATATGGTTTTGATTCAATGGTTAACGTGCATTTTTAACAAGTGATATGGTTTGGCTGCAACATTTACTTATTCAAATACCTTTAAAGATCTGTTTTTGGTTTTTTTTTTTTGTCTGTACTTCCCAGGAATTTGATGTCAGATGCATTTTCTATTATTTCCATATCTATTGAAATGAACTCAAATAAAAAAAGGGGATGTTTCATTACACACTTATTAATGTGTAATTTAAGATTAATGTGTAATCTTGTAATTCCCATAATCCTTATGTGTCAAGGGTGGGACCAGATGGACATAATTGAATCACAGGGGTGGTTTTCTCCAAGCTGTTCTCGTGATAGTGAGTTCTCACAAGATCTGACGGTTTTATAAGGGGCTTCTTCCTTCACTCAGAACTCATTGTTTCTGCTGCCACCCTGTGAAGAGGTGCCTTTGGCCATGATTGTAAGTTTCCTGAGGCATCCCCAGCCATGTGAAACTATGAGTCAATTAAACTTCTTTTCTTTATAAATTACCCAGTCTTGAGGAGTTCTTCATAACAGCATGAAAACAGACTAATACAGTAAATTGGTACCACAGACATAGGGTGCTGTTATAAGGATACACTAAAATGTGGAAGTGACTTTGGAACTGGGCAACAGGCAGAGGTTGGAATAGTTTGGAGGGTTCAGAAGAAGACAGTAAAGGCTGGGTGTGGTGGCTCATCCCTGTAATCCCAGGACTTTGGGAGACCGAGGCAGGTGGATGACCTGGGATCAGGAGTGTGAGACCAGCCTGGCCAACATGGTGAAACCCCATCTCTACTAAAAATATAAAATTAGCTGGGCATCATGATGCATGCCTGTAATCCCAGCTACTTGGGAGGCTGAGGCAGGAGAATGGCTTGAACATGGGAGGTGGAGGTTGCAGTGAGCAGAGATTGCACCACTGCATTCCAGCCTGGGCAACAAGAGCGAAACTCCATCTCAAAAAAAAAAAAGAAGACAGAAGAATGTGGGAAAGTGTGGAACTTCCTAGAGACTTGGAGGACTTGGAAGACAAGAAGATGTGGGAAAGTTTGGGACTTCCTAGAGACTTGAATGGCTTCTACCAAAATGTTGATAGTGACATGGAAAATGAAGTCCAGGCTGAGGTGGTCTCAGATGGAGATGAGGAACTTGTTGGGAACTGGGATAAAGGTGATTCTTGCTACGCTTTAGCAAAGAGACTGCAACACTTTGCCCCTGCCCTGGAGAGCTGTGGAAGTTTGAACTTGAGAGAGATGATTTAGGGTATCTCGTGGAATAAATTTCTAAGCAGCAAAGTGTTCAAGAGGAAGCAGAGCATAAAAGTTTGGAAAACTTGCAGCCTGACAAGGCGATAGAAAAGAAAAACCCATTTTCTTGGGAGAAATTCAAGCCAGCTGCAGAAATTTGCAGAACAAGGAGTGGAATACTAATTACCAAGACAATGAGGGAAATGTCTCCAGGGCAAGTCAGAGACCTTCTTGGCAGCCTCTCCCATCACAGGCCTGGAAACCTAGGAGGGAAAAATGGTTTCATGGGCCCAAGACCCCCTGTTCTATGCAGCTTTGAGACATGGTGCCCTGTCTCCCAGATGCTTCAGCTCCAGCCACAGTTAAAAGGGGCCAAGGTACAGCTCAGGCCATTGCTTCAGAGGGTCCAAGCTCCAAGCCTTGGAGGCTTCCATGTGGTGTTGAGCCTGTGGGTTCACAGAAGTCAAGAATTGAGGTTTGGGAACCTTCACCTGGATTTCAGAGGATGTATGGAAATGCCTGGATACCCAGGCAGAAGTTTGCTGCAGGGGCAAAGCCCTCATGGAGAACCTCTGCTAGGACAGTGCAGAACGGAAATGTGGGGTTGGAGCCCCCACACAGAGTCCTCACTGGGGTACTACCTAGTGGAGCTGTGAGAAGAGGGTCACTGTCCTCCAGACCCCAGCATGGTAGATCCACTGACAACTTTCACTGTGCCCCTGGAAAAGCCACAGACACTCAATGCCAGCCCATGAAAGCAACCAGGAGGGGGTTGTACCCTGCAAAGCCACAGGGGTGGAGCTGCCCATGGCCATGGGAGCTTACTTCTTGCATCAGTGTGACCTGGATGTGAGACCTGGAATCAAAGGAGAACATTTTGGAACTTTAAGGTTTAATGACTGCCTTATTGGATTTCAGACTTGCATAGGGCCTGTAGCCCCTTTGTTTTGGCCAATTTCTCCCATTTGGAATGGGTGTATTTACCCAATGCCTGTGTCTCCATTGTATCTACAAAGTAACTAACTTGCTTTTGATTTTACAGGCTCATAGGTGGAAGGGACTTGACTCAGATGAAACTCTGGACTTGGACATTTGGGTTAATGTTGTAATGAGCTAAGACTCTGGGGAACTGTTGGAAAGGTATGATTGTGTTTTGAAATGTGAGGACATGAGACTTGGAGGGGGGCCAGGGACAGAATGATATGATTTGGCTCTGTGTCCCCACCCAAATCGCATCTTGAATTGCAGTTCCCATAATCCCCAAGTGTAAAGGGTAGGATCAGGTGAACATAATTGAATCATGGGGTAGTTGCCCCCATGCTGTTCTCATGATGGTGGGTGAGTTCTCATGAGATCTGATCATTTTATAAGGGGCTTCCCCTTTGCTCAAAACTCATTATTTCTGCTGCCACCATGTGAAGAGGTGCCTTCTGCCATGATTGTAAGTTTCCTGAGGCTTCCCTAGCCATGTGGAACTGTGAATCAATTAAACCTCTTTTCTTTATAATTACCCAGTCTTGGATATTTCTTCATAGCAGCATGAGAATGGACTAATACAAGATGTGAGTGCATTTCCAGTTAATAAATAGGTAATATTTTCTGTGTTTTCTGCTATGGTAATGAATTGCATTACAACTTCACTAAAGAGAGAAATCACTCACAATTTGAGACCTAAACCAAGAGCTGAAGAAAGTGCAAAGAGGCCTACAATAATTCCTATAAGTTATTTCCAATGGAAGGCCTCTGTGTATGTAGTACTGTAATAGAAAAACCTATGGAATAAAAAGAATGCATTCTCTGAGTAATGTTATGCAGTTTAATTAACCCTTCTCTGTATATTTTTGGCAGCTGTCATCTGTATTATAGGGATAATACAATTAATGGTACTGTCATGATTACATAAGTGAGATGAGTGAGGCATTTTTTTTGTTTTTTGTTTGTTTGTTTGTTTGTTTTGAGACAGAGTCTTGCTCTGTCGCCAGGTTGGAGTGCTGTGGCGCAATCTTGGCTCACTGCAACCTGCAACTCCCTGGTTCATGCGATTCTGCTGACTCAGCCTTCTGAGGAGGCCATTGTGTGTGTGTGCTGAGGGGTTCCCTTATTGGGCAAAATGTACAGGGTAGCAAGGGATTTTTGGCAGCAAAGGATTGTGATTGGGTGGGGAGGAGTAGTAATATTTCATGAGAAGTAAGTTGAGAAGCAAACAAGTGCTGTGTGTTTTCATTAAGCAATAGGGTCGACACAGCATGGGAACATACACATCAAGTGGGCGGCCTAACACTAAATCAGAAGTAGCCTGGATGAGTTGGAAGTCATGGCCACTGTTTGTAGGCCAGGAGGATATGCTTTAGCACTGGCTGGTTTTGTGGGAAAACAGAGAGAAAGACATGGCTGAGTCTCAGGGTGCTCAGAGAAGGCCACAGCCTTGGGGTGCCGTGGTGACCACAAACACTTCCCCCATCCCATACCAATCTTTAAGAGCCTTTTCCTCCTTAAAGGCCTGTCACTTAGCAAAGAGCTTTCAATGAACCCTCCCCTCTGGGCCACTTGTTGGATTGCAGCCAATCAGTGATGGAGGGCTGGACACAACTGTGGGATGCTGTGATTTGGTTTGGCTCCTGGGTCTAGAGTGCTCTGGGGTCCACTGTACTTCTGGGATAAAACGCCAAGGCCATGACTCTCTTGCTAATTTACAAACAAAAGATTGAGGGCTAGCTAAACAAGGACAGAGAGGAAGCAGCTTTCTGTAAGACACACCCACCAGTGTGCCCTGTCAGTTTACCATTGCCATGGCAACACTCAGGCATTACCACCCCTTTCAGCAACAATGACCTGATGACCCAAAAATTACCACCCTTTTCCTAACAATTTCTGCACAAACCACCCCTGAATCTGCATGTAATTAAAAGTAGGTATACATATGACTGCAAAACTGGGCTCAGCCACTACTCTCGGCACCCTGCCTATGGGGCAACCCTGGGAGCAGTCACTGAGCTGTGACCCCACAGGAGCTGCAACAGTGTTGCTTTGATAAAGGTGTTTTCTTCCACCTTACCACTGGCTCGCCCTTGAATCCTTTCCTGGGTGAAGCCAAGAACCCTTGCAGGCTAAGCCCCACTTTGGGGTTTGCCTGCCCTGCATCAGCATCAGGTTTGTTTTTTAAACTTGTAAAATAGTTTTTGTGATTCTGTCATGTATTTTGCAGTCATGAACTAACATATTTTTTCCTCAATTGTCAGTTGCAGTTTCCTCAAAGATCATTATAAATACTCCTTAACCTACAAAGTTTGGCAGTCACAGCCTGCTCTTCGAGGAACAGCCTGACTCACCATCAAGTGGCTCCTCAGGTGGTTTTACTTCCCATGTTTCCCATGTGAGGTACTATGCCTCAGTGATTCCTGGCAAAACTAGGATTCTCTGTTAGTATTGTGCTAACTTTGGAGTGAGTTTCTTTTGGTGAGTAATAATTTTAGTCAATGATACTACTGATTATTTTATCTTTTTTTAGGCTTATGATGAATGCTTGATTTATGATTAATACGTTTTTCACTTTTACACATTTCAAGGAAGGAAACAAGAACAGACAGAAACACAACATACTTCATGAAACCACATTTTAACATCCTGGCCGAGTATTCATCACTCAGCAAGATAGAGAGACATAAACTATTTCCAGCAAGAATACTTCATAAATGATGAATAGAAGAAAAATAGAAGTCCTAAAAATCTTGCAGAACTGTCTTAATTTACTAATATATTTACACTGTATCCTAAGTCACTCTCTAGCTTCTTGCTCTAAGCATATGAA
Source organism: Homo sapiens (assembly GCF_000001405.40). Taxonomy (NCBI): domain Eukaryota; kingdom Metazoa; phylum Chordata; class Mammalia; order Primates; family Hominidae; genus Homo; species Homo sapiens. Next base: position 39,322,176 of record NC_000009.12, read on the forward strand.
ATGTAAGAGCTAATGGGAACCCCAGTGCCTGTATAAATAACAAGAACCAGCATGTCTTTATTTATGGCAGGGAACACTCTACAACCTGGGACAAATGCCACTCTGCTTCAGTTTGGGGAAGCTCCTCACTTTACCATCCTGACGTTGAATAAATGATTCAAAGGCAACTACAGATGCAACCTGAGCCACTGGATGGGCTTTTGTAAATAAAGTTATCTCACCTGGCATTCATTACAGAGAAAACAAGAAATAAGGCACTACATGTCATATTTGTCTAGATCCTATACCTATTTAGGTTCACATTAAAATGAAGAGAAAACAACATAGGCTGAGAATCAGAAAACCTGAACTCTGTCCCAGCTCAGCCACTGGCCACAGGGAATTAACCAATCTCTTTGAACGTCAGTTTCTTCATTAAGCATCGTAGAGAATGTCAAAACCAACTTTATAAATACTGTCATTCCAAAACCACACAATTCAAATATAAATAATCTTTATAAGGTAAAACAAAAATGTACATAATACTTTACATAAACATTTTTAGAATAAGTTTATTATAACTCGATAAGCAAAATAATCCAAACCTTTATACATTTCTACAAGGATAGTCACGTATGTCAATTTTTCGGTTTCCTCTCGTGCCTATTTTGTCTCCTGAGCCGGCCCCTTTCCAGCTGACACGTGTGCTCCGTGTTCTCCCACAATAGCCTGACCTGGCCTGAGTCCACGCCCCTGTGAGCCTCCTTTCTTTGCTTACAACAGCAGCCTGCCTGATGTCAGTTATGGACTATTCTTTCTTTCAGCCTCATTTCAGGGTCCTCTGCCTCTTAGAGCTGCTGCTGTAGCTTAGCTAGAGACCCGCTGCTGTTGCATCATGGAAAAGTGCCACATACGTGCACATGTGAAAGAATACGCAGACCTTCATGTTGGGTTTTAGTTTTAGAAAAAGTCAGAAGTAGCTTCACTTGATTTCAGCTTGTAAAGACATAGGAGGGAGGCAACTGAGAATCACCGTTGCAAAAAGCAAACATCAAAAATCACATTAAAATGCTGAAGTGTTGTGGAGCACAAACCTAGCTTTATTGGATCAAGCATTCGTGAGAGTTCTTCTACTTGCTTTGTTATGCTTTCTATCAGACAGGGCTCATTCTCTGTCTTTTTTTTTAACATATTCATTTTTTCCTTTGGTCTGTTTAGATTATTATCACATCTTATGTTTTAAAACTAGCAAAATATTATGTGTAAGTCATGAACACAGTGTAAGAAATAATAAAATGAACACTGATGTACACATTACCTGCTTAAGAATCAAAAACTACCCATATTTTTAGAGTCCTTAACACTGTCCTGTTAATTAGTCCCATTTCTTGCCTTTATAATTTTGCCAAAATAAATGCATTAGTAAAGGACATTGAACATTATTGTTTTACATGTTTTTCAGTTTAAACAAATGGGATCACACTGAATATATTTTTCTGAAATTGCTTTTTGGTTCAATATTAAATTTGTAAGATTCATTCTTATGATATGTTTATCTGTACTTTCTGTGCATTGATTTAGAGTATTCCATCACAGGATAATACTATAATGAGCATTCCATTTTATTAGATTGGGGTTATTATCCATTTTTTTCTGTTACAAAAAGTAGATGTCCTTTTCTTGTATGAGTCTCCTGGACATAAGAGTTAGATTTTCTCTAAGGTATAAACCCAACATTCAAATCATTGTGTCAAAAGATTTGTACACTAAGTTAAAATGAACTGTTTTCCGATTTATGCTCCCATGAGAAGTTAAAGGTTCTGATAGATCTATATTCTCAACAATACCTAATAGTATCACAGTTTGTTTTTTTTTTTTTTTTTTGAGACAGAGTCTCGCTCTGTCACCCAGGCTGGAGTACAGTGGCGTGATCTCGGCTCACTGCAAGCTCCGCCTTCTGGTTTCACACCATTCTCCTGCCTCAGCCTCCTAAGTAGCTGGGACCACAGGTGCCTACCACCACGCCCGGCTAATTTTTTGTATTTTTGTTAGAGACGGGGTTTCACCGTGTTAGCCAGGTTGGTCTCGATCTCCTGACTTTGTGATCTGCCTGCCTTAGCCTCCCATAATGCTGGGATTACAGGCATGAGCCACCGTGCCTGGCCAGTATCACACTTTTTAACATTAGTTAACTTGGTTTGTCATTGGAATTTTAATCTGCATTTTTTAGAAGTACTGAATCAAGAAAAAAATCAAGTAATGAAAAAAATGTTATTTTAGTAAATAAAAATGCTATAAAGACAATAAAGCAAGTGAACGTAGTCAAAAGCGGAGAGGGGCTACTTCATTTTGATAGTCAAAGATGGCCTTGCTGGTCATCTGAGTTGAGAGGTGGCTGGCAAGATGAGAAGAGATGTTAAGTAGCTGTGGAAGGGGCCTGCTGGCACAGGGCATGCTCTAAGGCCCTGAAAAGAGGCAAACATTCTTTCCCTCTAAATACCTGAACTAAGTAAAAACAGTCCTGGCTTTGCACATTTGAATATGCACAGGTTTAATTAACATAGTTTAGTTAAATAGCACTAGTCTCCCAAAAACGTGGTTACAATTTCAGTTACCACAATATGCTAACTGTGAGCAACTGCATAAAATCCAAACTTCGTTCCCAGCTCTTAATTCCACAAATGCCTATGTGAGTAAATAACAGGCAAGCATCATGATTAGGGACTGTATTAATCTTGTGGGGATGCTGCAACAAAGTATGAAAAGCCGGGTTGCTTAAAACAACAGAAATGTATTGACTCGTAGTTGTGGAGGCTAGAAGTCAGAAATCAATGTGTTGGCAGGTTCATGCTCTCTGCTGGCTCTAGGGGAGAATCCTTCTTCCCCTCTCCTTCCTGTTTGGGTTTGCCAGCCATCCTTGTTGTTGTCTGATCTATAGATATATCACTCTGTTTTCTCTATGTGTCTTCACATCGTCTTTTTTTGTGTGTGTGTCTGGAGCTGTATCCAAATTCTCCTTTATTATAAGACACCAGTTAGTCTATTGGATTAGGACCCACCCTAATGACCTCATTTTAACTTGAGAACCTCTGTAAATGTGCTATTTCCAAATAAGATCATATTATTTTGAGATATTGGGGATTAGGATTTCAAATATATCTTTTTAGGGGGACACAATTCACTTCCTTCAAAGCCTGTCAGTGACTGCTCACTGTGCATCTGCTAGTTTGCACACAGACAGCAAAGTCTGCAATCGTGTTGACTCCTTGTCTCCCAGTGAGAAACCCATGTGACATTTATAAATATGAATAATCAGAAGAAAAAACTGGTCAACAACCATTGATGTGCAGCAAAGAAATAAAAAATGTGATAACCCTGGAAGTGTATTCAAATACAATGTAAATGGAATCATAGAATTGGCTCACCACAGGAAATGCAGCAAGAGGAACTCGGCGCAACGCAGTGTTCTGACATAAATGAGGAACGCAGCTGTGATGAAAAGGATGAAGAAGCCCCAGAGGAAGTGATGCCGGCAAAGACAGCAACAAACTTCATATTAAAGGAACTCTTGTAGATATTGCATGACAATGTTGACAATGTTAGATGCTGTTCCGAAAACAGCACGACAGTTCACCAAGGCATAGAAACACTGCTGGCTCCTTATCATAAGCTATACGACAAGAGGGAGGCAAGCACTGTTCAAACTGGGCTTGATATACGTCTATAAATAAATAAAGCACTTTAATTGGCTGTTGTTTAATGTTTTAAATTACAGTGTAAAAATGAAGTACTCCCAACCAGGCACGGTGGCTCACTCCTGTAATCCCAGCACTTTGGGAGGCTGAGGCGGATAATGAGGTCAGGAGATCAAGATCATCCTGGCTAACACAGTGAAACCCTGTCTGTACTAAAAATAGAAAAAATCAGCCTGGTGTGGTGGCATGCCACAACTACTTGGGAGGCTGAGGCAGAAGAATCGCTTGAACCCAAGAAGTGGAGCTTGCAGTGAGCCGAGATCGTGCCACTGCACTCCAGTCTGGGCGACAGAGCGAGACTCCATCTCAAAAAAAAAAAAAAAAAAAGTACTAATTTCACTATGTTTCATTTCTTTATACATTTATAACCAACAGTAAGAGATTTTTAATGTTTTGGCCAAAATTTTTAAATGACACAGAACAGTCGATGTTTCACATGGATTGTTTAGGTCACTTTACAGATCTTTAGCTTACATAGTGATTTGTATGGCCCTGCACTGCTGTGCAAAGAGAGGACTGTCTGTGTTCTTAACCAGTAAGAAGGAGGGCAAGACAGAGGTTCTCAGCCAGATATTGCATACGTAATAAAATGATGGGAGAGGGAATAGCACTTTAGATATGAAATGTACCGTGTGGGGAAGCTATTTGAACAACAACAACAAAATAGCTTAATTTAACCCGATGGAGTACACTCAGCCACCTTCTAGATGTCCCTGCTTATTCTTCAAATCTTCTCTTTTGTGGCCCCAAAGAATGATTCACTCTCTGGAGTGAAAAATAACCGTTGCTTTCTTTGCCTGGAACTTTAAACTGACTTGTGCTGTATCATCCAAACCTGTTCAATTCTCTCTTTTCTATTACTCAGTGAGGTCCAAAGGAGCCAAAGACAAATCTCTCCTGTTTTTCTTCGAAATGTAAAGATGTTGCATCTGTAACCACAGGCTGCTTTTAATCCTAAAAGTCAGCGTGATAATGAAATCCAGTGATTAATTTCTGTCTTCTAATCAATAAGTAGACATATCAATTTATAGTATGTTAGAAAGCCTCAACTCCACTGAAACAAAAAGCAAGAGGCTCTGCAAATGTTGGAGTGTGCTAAAGGAAAAGCATGGACTGATGTTTGGGGAAAGGTTGGTCAATGTGATGAGGCCATCTGTGTTTGCTAATAGTGCTTATCAAAGTTAGGTTCCTACGCAGAGACAGAGACCAGGAGACAATCCTGTATCCTTCTTGATCCTTATAGTCCAAAGGGATAGCTCCTAAGTCTTTGAGAAAGACATTCTGTGTTATAGGAGATTTAAAGGGACAGAGAAAAGGTTTATAACTACAGGTTTTCTGTTTTTTTGTGTTTTTTTTTTTTTCTAGACGGAATCTCACTCTGTCACCAAGCTAGAGTGTAGTGGGGCGATCTCGGCTCACTGCAACCTCCGCTTCCCAAGTTCAAGTGATTCTCCTGCCTCAGCCTCCCAAGTAGCTGGGACTACATGTGTGTGCCACCACGCCCAACTAATTTTTGTATTTTTAGTAGAGACGGGTTTTCACCATGTTGGCCAGGATGGTCTTGCTCTCTTGACCTCAAGATCCACCCTCCTCAGCCTCCGAAAGTGATGGGATTTGAGCCACCACGCCTGGCCATAATTGCAAGTTTTCTAAAGTTAAAGCTCTTAGAAATGGGAGGTCAGGGGCCTATAGTCAAGTTTTGGGTGGGACAAACAGTAAATTCTTTTGGCAGAATTGAATGTTCCCAGGCAGGTGCTTTAGAGGGGTATGGGGCATCGTAGGGACGTGGCTCTGAGCTGATAGAGGCTGTGTTGGAATTTGGCCAAGTCCCTTACTGTATGTATGAGGAGGAGGGATGTGCAGAAGAAGTTGTTTGTGCCAAGAATTTGCGGTTTTCACAGGTTAAGACAGCGGTGCCTGGGATCATCTGCAAGGCATGAGTCAAATGTTGACACAATGATTGTTTGCAGACTCATCTGAGGGCTTAGGCAGATCTGGACCTGTTGATACTGAAGTTTCTGAAGGTAGAGGAAGAAAATATAATGTCTCAATAATATCTGAAGTAGGGGTAGGAAAACAGAGATTTAAGGAGGTGAGATCCCTTCAGGCCTCAGAAAGAAGCTTCACTTCTTGTGCCTCCCTTCAGAATAAATGGGTCATTAAATTAGTTCTTTGTAACTAACCTAGGCATGATGGTGAAGAAGGGAATAGTGAGAGGAAGAACTTTAAATAAATATGCCTGAGAGATCATACTAGATTAATGGGAGAGAAAGAAATTTCCAAGAAGCTGTCATGGGAAAGGGCTCACGAATAATAATTTAAAAATTAGTTATTGATAATATGAATAAATCAATAAAAATAAATAAAAAGAGATCTGCCAATAGCCACACTTACAGCACCAGATAGATTTTAAATAAATTAAAATTTGAGTTTTTAATGAATTTTCTACAATCCAAAATTTATTTGTTTAATTTTTGCAACGAAACACCATTTCTTTACTTTTTGCAAAAGTAAAAGTAAGATGCTACTTGTACTTTTTAAATAAAACTAATTTTAAAGAAAAACATAATTAGCCAGATGTGGTGGCAGGCACCTGTAATCCCAGCTACTGGGGAGGCTGAGGCAGGAGAATTGTGGAGGTTGCAGTGAGCCCAGAAGGCCCCACTGCATCCAGCCTGGGTGACAGAGCGAGACAGTCTCAAGCTTCTTCAGTACTCACATGTAAACTTCTACTTTCCCCTTCAGATTACAGCAACCATCATGCCAAAGCTATACACTCTCAGGGAATCCCTGTGGATTTCACTGATGACCACTTGACCAACTATCATAAAGATCAAGGCCAGGGGTTCTCAAACTCTCAACATTTGTGTGCTCATCTCCCCTTCACCCAGAGACTCCCCAGGGCTGCTGGGCCACACTTTGTTTTGTTTGACTGGAACATAGTTTGAAAGGGATGGAAATTTCCAAAAGGTGTTAATAGACACATAAAGATTTTTAAATATTAAAAAAAAGAAAAAGAAAGAAAGAAGGAAATGGGCATTTGTGAACTTTGGTCATGAGAACGCAGGCCTCGCAGTACTTAACTACTCCTTCCAAACCCCTGTCCAAAGAGAGGACCAAACTCTAGTGAGGCTTCCAGCAGCACAAGGATGTCCCACGGATGACCCCAGCCCTCCTTAAAATGACTGCCTGAGAAAGCTCACTTGCAAGGAGAATTTACTGTTTGTTTCAGGCAAAACCTGGTGATGGGCAGGTAGAGCCCTGAATCCCCTCTTAGAACCTTAGAAAGCTTGCAATTATAAATCTTTTCTCTGCCTTTGAAGTGTAAATCTACATCCCAGAATTGTCTCCCCAAAGACCTGAGAGCTGTCTCTTTGAAATGCAAACATTCAGGAAGCTAACTCTTGCTCTTGTTGCCAGTTCCTGAGGGAGGGGAAAGGCCTAGCTTTGGCGAGCACCTTGCTCCAGCTTGCACCTCTGACTCTTTTATTGCCATGAAAATCAACATGTAGACTTTTTTCAAACCCAATGACAGCCCATTACAATGGAGGCCATAGCGATGGAGGTCTCTACATGCAAAAAAAATGGTGGGACAGTTTCCTGACAACAGTCCAACTTTATTCCAAGGATAAGCATGTCATGAAATTATTGGATGGCAGATTATGCTTGAGTTATCTATGGTCTTCCTTTTTCTCCCTGGTCTCATCCCAATAGCTTACAGATCCTTTAAAGGCAAAGGCCAAATATTCAGCTAAGTTAGGCATACTTCAGATGCCAATATCAATTTTAGCTATATGGGAGATCCCACTTAAGATATTGAGGACGATCATGTGTGTACAGGGCAAAAAGTATGGGACAAAGAGATAAGAAGGGGATGGGAAATCACACCCTCCCTCCGCACCACAGACCATGACCTGGGGCAGGTCCTGTAACACCAAGCCCACCCAGGCCCCATCTAACAGTATGCCGCACTCTACATGACCTCAGAGTTCTTTCGGAATTCCAGCTGAAAAGCTGAAAAGAAATACTATATAGTTGTGGTTTCCAGCTGGCCCATGTTAGTATGTATAGCTTTTCTTCCTTGCCATGAAAGCACTATGGGAGAACGAAGCCCGATGCTGAGCATGCTTTGCCAGGTGGGTGCTGCTGAATCACAGACCTCAGCGACTGTGTTCCACCTCCACAGAGGCCGGGAATGTTTGTTTCCCCAGTGTGTTCATATATTTCAGCCAGTGTCTTGCACTTTGCCCTCTCAGTTTGCTTCACTTTCTGGCTCAGTGAAGCTGACCTGCAAGTCTCCCTGCAGTTTCCCTCAACAAGTGCTCACTGGGCAGCCCCAACATGTGAGAAACGGCTGTAGGGTGCACAGAGGTGAACTAAATTACTAAAAACTATTACTTTACTAAAATGTTTCCTGGATTCCAAAACTCACCAACTGGGAGAAAGGTCAGACACACACGGAGACAACTCATCTACACAAATGATCATCAGTGATTTAAAGAAGGTGCAGGAGATCATAGAATAAGAACAAGAAGAGATTACTTTCCAGGGCTCTCAGAAAGTTTCTGAAACGAAGTGCCATTGACCCTGACCTTAGCATTGTGATGGAGACATTACAGAGCTGGTAGGAAGGAGAAGAAGAAGGAACGGCTGGAACACACTTGGGGTGAAATGAGCAGCATTTCAGTGTGGGAGCTGCAGACTCGGTTTTGGTGGAAGAGTTAGGAGCCAGGATCTTGTCAGGAATAATTCTGTGTCCAAGTGCAGAATCGTGGTTTGCTCCATTACTGCCAGTAACTCCATTTCTCAATCATGATGGTGATGCTTTTTTTTGGCTCTCAATCCTGGAGATTGGCCGTACTGAAGTCACATTACAACAATTAACTTTTCAACTATTAGATGATTAATTTTTACCAAGTAGCAAGAACAGCTGTTTGGCACATAGCAGTGTGGCATGAGTATCTTGTAAATGAATTAAACAAAATATCTCTCCAGCACACACACAGTCATTCTTGCTGCATGTCAGCCTCCACTTCTCCCTCCATTATTTGATGCCGTGAAGCTGAGGCAGCCAGCTTGAGCGAAAGTTTTCAGATCTCACTCCAACAAAGAGCTTTGATTGATTCACTTAGTATAAGGTGTTTTATCTAGCTAAAGAAATCCAAGCTGAGTTTTATTAATTACTAAGAAAAATATCTGTGCAATAGATTAATCTTTGATCAAAACTATGTGTGAAGTAGAAACATATTACACATATGGAGAGCAATATTATGGAATAAAAACAACCTATGTGTGGCATAATTGACATTGTCTTTATATTTTTGGGGGGGCTGAAGACGCAGTCTCACTCTGTCGCCAGGCTGGAGTGCAGTGACACGATCTTGGCTCACTGCAATCTCCGCCTCCTGGGTTCAAGCTATTCTCCTGCCTCAGCCTCCTGAGTAGCTGGGATTACAGGTGCATGCTGCCACACCCAGCTAATTTTTGTATTTTTAGTAGAGACAGAGTTTCACCATGTTGTCCAGGATGGCCTCGATCTCCTGACCTCATGATCCTCTCGCCTCAGCCTCCCAAACTGCTGAGATTACAGGCATGAACCACCTTGCCTCGCCTATAAATAATTTTTGAAACAGATACAGAATATATAGATAGCTTAACAATTATAAAATTGTATTTATCAAGTATGTCACGAGGTAAACATTTTATGCTATGCAAAAGGGAGCAAACCTCCGAATTTGTCATGCAGGGTCACTAGTGGAACTCACAGCAACAGGTCTGATAAAGCAGAGGAGGGAACCAGGCTTCCGTGTGCTTTAGAGAGAGTGAAACATGAGGAGTCATAGGCAGAGAAAACTGTTTTTCAGAAAGAAAAGAAAGGGGACATGACAGCCCAGCAGTAGGGTGAAGAGGGCCTCTCCGTGGGTGCCACTGGCTTGAGCTGCTGTAAGTGGCTGTGCCTGGAACAGAGGATCTGGATAGGAGAATGGGGAAGGGAGTGCTGGAACCGGGGGTGGGCAGGAGCAGCAGTCTGGAGACCAGAATGACCTAGGGTTTCCTCTCATGCTCCCATTCCCAGTGTTTCACGTGTGTAAAGTAGCAAGCATGCATATACTGCTTAGAGGCATCTACACTTACATACTACACTCATATCCAACACTTGCATCGTACAAAGTACACATAGTAGGTGTGGCATGTAATAAGTTACCCTCTTATATTTTCTTCTAAAAGATTTTTAAATATTTGCATCTCAAATTTAAGTCCTTTGTCCATTTAGATCTGGCCTTTGTGTGATAGGGATCCATTTTTGGGATAGAGATGCATTCTGATATTTTCCCATATGGATACCAATTGCTCATACCATGGATCATATAGACCCTTTCTGACTGTTCTGTAATGTTAGCCAGGGCATACATCAAGATTTCACACAAGCATACACTTTCACAATAGCAATTCCTGCTGTGGTAATTATAACTTCACAGCAAATCTGGTACGAGATAGACTCACATAAGCTCCACCTCCCACCTTCGCACACTTTAGTCTTCTATGGGATTGTCTTAGTTATACTGGGCCCTTTTCTCTTCCGTATAAGCTTTGGAAGCAGTTTAGTGACAATGGTACTCTTGTCTTTTTCTTGATTTTAAAAGGAGTGATTTCAATATTTTTAATCACAAAACATGATAGGTGCTGTAGGTTATTTGTCGACTCCTTTTATCAGGTTAAGGAAGTTACCCTTTATTCATAGGTGGAAATATCAATAATTTAATTTTTGTAAATTTTTTTTTTTTTTTTTTTTGAGAGGGATTCTCACTTTGTGGCCCAGGCTGGAGTGCAGTGGCGGGATCTCGGCTCACTGCAAGCTCCGCCTCCCGGATTCACACCATTCTTCTGGCTCAGCCTCCCGAGTAGCTGGGACTACAGGCGCCCGCCTCCACGTCCAGCTAATTTTTTTTTTTTTTTAGTAGAGACAGGGTTTCATTGTGTTAGCCAGGATGGTCTCAATCTCCTGACCTCGTGATCCACCCGCCTCAGCCTCCCAAAGTGCTGGGATTACAGACGTGAGCCACTGTGCCCAGCTGTAAAATAATTTTATAGGCCTTTTGAGACAATCATATAATTTTTGTCTTTAATTTGTTGATAAGGAGATAATTTCAGTAGATTTTCTAACACTGAACTAAATTTGCATTACTAACCGAGCTTGTTCATGGTTTTTATACTTTGCTAGGTATACCTCCTAGTATTTTGTTTACACTATTTGTCTGTGTGCATGGATGAGGTACACCATAGCAAGGTTATCCTAGTATCATATGAATTAAAGAATGGTCTCTTTTTTTTCCCCTCGCAGATTATTAGTGTAACATTGGAGCTACTGGTGACATCATCTAGGCATCATGTTTTCTTTGTAGAATTATTAATTATTAACTCAATTACTTTAATGGTATGATTTCCATCTAGATTTTCTAATTATTTGAGTCAACTTTGATATGTTATATGTATCCAAAAATGTGTTAATCTCACTTATTTACAAATGCATATATATGTCTTGTTACTTAATGAAATAGATCATAAATATAAAAGTGTGTGTGTACAGCTTAAGAAGAATATAAAATGAGCATATGCGCCCTTCCTTCAGGTTATGAAATAGAATATTTCCAGTATCTTAGAAACTCCCATTGCCCTTCTTCAATGCCACTCACTCTTTCCACAAGAGGTAACCACTATCCCTAACTTCCTGTTAATCATTCCATTGCTTGTCATTATAGACTTGCATATTGTTTAGTTTTGCACATGTTTGACTTTTTTAATAAGTGAAACTGTGTATTGTTTCTTGTTGTTTTTTTTCTGAGACGTAGTCTCCCTCTGTTGCCCAGGCTGGAGTGCAGTGGCGTGATCTCCGCTTACTGCAAGCTCCGCCTCCCGGGTTCATGCCATTCTCCTGCCTCAGCCTCCCGAGTAGCTGGGACTACAGGTGCCCACCACCACGCCTGGCTAATTTTTTATATTTTTTTTAGTAGAGACGGGGTTTCACCGTGTTAGCCAGGATGGTCTCGATCTCCTGACCTCATGATCTGCCCACCTCAGCCTCCCAAAGTGCTGGGATTACGGGCGTGAGCCACCGTGCCTGGCCAACTATGTATTGTTTCTTGTGATTAGATATGCATACACACAAACATGTGTATGCATATATATATATATATATATATATATACACACATGTACACACACATTATTTTTTAGAGCAGTTTAAAGTTCACAGCAAAACTGAGCAGAAGGTATAGATTTCCCATATACTCCCTGCCCCCCACACATGCATAGCTTCTCTCATGATAAACGCCCCCCACCAGAGTGCTGCATTTGTTACAATTAATGATACATGATACATCTTATAGTTTGCATTAAGGTTCACACTTGGGCTTGGACAAATTTACAATGACAAGTATTCACTATTAAAATATCATACATGTACTTTCAGGGCCCTACGCATCCTCTGTGCTCTAGTTATTCATTCCTCTCTTCCTCCTAACTCCTGGAAACCACTGATTTTTTTTTTTCTATCTCTATAGTTTTACCTTTTCCAGAAAGGTCATATAGTTGGAAGTGACAGTATGTAGCCGTTTTAGATTGGCTTCTTTCACTTTGTAATATGCATATAAGCGTCCTCTGTGTCTTTTCGTGGCTTGACAGCTCTTTTTATTTTTTATTTTATTTATTTTATTTTTTTATTTTTTTTTTAGAGGGAGTCTTGCTCTGTCGCCCAGGCTGGAGGGCAGTGGCGTGATCTCCACTCACTGCAAGCCAAGCTCCACCTCCCGGGTTCACGCCATTCTCCTGCCTCAGCCTCCCGTGTAGCTGGGACTACAGGCACCTGCCACTGCACCTGGCTAAGTTTTTGTATTTTTAGTAGCCACGGGGTTTCACCGTGGTAGCCAGGATGGTCTCTATGTGCTGACCTCGTGATCTGCCTGCCTCGGCCTCCCAAAGTGCTGGGATTACAAGCGTGAGCCATCTCACCCGGCCAACAGCTCATTTATTTTATCATTGAATGATATTCAATTGTCTGGATGTACCACAGTTTGTTAATTCACCTACTGAAGGAAATCTTGCTTGTCTCCAAGTTTTTGCAATTATAAATAAAGCTTCCATAAACATCTGTGTGCAGGTTTCTGTGTGGACATAAGTTTTCAACTCCTTTGGATATATACCAAGAAACAAGATTGCTGGGTCGTATAATAAGAGTAGATTTAGTTTTCTAAGAAGCCACAAAACTGTTCTCCATTTTGTATTTCTATCAGCACTGAATGAGAGCTCCTGTTGCTTCACATCCTCATCAGCATTTGGTGTTGTCAGGGTTCTGGATTTTTGCCTTTCTAATACGCATGCAGTAGTATCTCATTGCAGTGCTGTATTTGAGAATGTGAATAGCTGCAGTTCATTCACTCTTAGTGCTGCGAGGTACTCTATTATCGGAATATATGATCATTTAGTTACCCAGTCCACTATCTACCCATATTGAGAGATAACTAGATTGTTTCCAGGTTTTTGAAATTGGGAACATTCTCATATATCTCTAGGTAAACAAACGCAAGAATTTTTCTGGGGCCTGTAACAGGCTGACTAGGTTGCACTAGGTTGTAGTGAAGTCACTGGGTCATAGGGTACATTATGATCAGCTGTATGAGCCAGCATCTGTCTGTTTTCCAAATGGCTGTCCTACTTTAGTGTGTGGGATGAATACTTCCATGTTTCTTTATCCTTGCCAATACCACACGTTTCGGAACTTCATAAAAAAATTGTCAATATGTGTGAAAGGATATCTAATTGTTAATTTTCATTTTCATGATTATTATGAGGTTGAGCACTTTTTACATGCTTATGGGATATTTGTGCTAACTTCTCAACAGACATGTTATTTTTCACTTATTTATAGGAGGCATATTCTGGATACCAGACCTTTCTAGGTAAGATGTGTTGCAAATAGCTCTGCCAAGTTTTGGGTATTTTTTTTCACATTGCAGTATCCTTTAATAAACAGAAGTATTAAATTTTTGTGTTATCAAATCAATTTTTCCTCTTTCAGTTTGTTCTTCCTCCCCAGGTAAAGATAAAAGATATGGCCGGGCGCGGTGGCTCACGCCTGTAATCTCAGCACTTTGGGAGGCCGAGGTGGGCAGATCACAAGGTCAGGAGATCGAGACCATCCTGGCTACCACGGTGAAACCCTGTCTCTAGTAAAAATACAAAAAATTAGTCCAGGCGGGGTGGCGGGCGCCTGTAGTCCCAGCTACTCCGGAGGCTCAAGCAGGAGAATGGCATGAACATGGGAGAGGAGGTGGAGCTTGCAGTTAGCCAAGACCGCGCCACTGCACTCCAGCCTGGGCAACAGAGCGACTCCATCTCAAAAAAGAAAAAAATAATTCTTCCCAGGTTTTTTTCTAAAAATGTTGAGAAGCTATCTTTATCCGTTAAAATATATTTTTATGTTTGTTCTCCAGGATTAAGTTTCAATTTCATTTTTTTCCCTTATGGAGATCAGTGGTCCCAGTGTTGCTTATTGTAAAATATACTATCTTCACTTAACAACAATGAAAGCTGTGTTACAAAATCTGTTTCCCAGTATTAGTGCAAAATATATTTCTCTTTATGATTGTACTCAGATTAACTAGTTTGCAGGACTGTGTCCAGAGTTGGTTCCTTCCGGTGGGTTCGTGGTCTCCCTGACTTCAAGAATGCAGCTGTGGACCTTCCTGGTGAGTGTTACAGTTCTTAAAGATGGCACGGAACCAAAAAGTGAGCCTAGGAAGGTTTATTGCTGAGAGCGAAAGAACAAAACTTCCACACCCTGGAAGGTGACCCCACCTGGTTGCTGCTGCTGGTTGCGGGTGGCCAGCTTTTATCCCCTTATTTCTTCCCACCCATGTTGCGTTTCTGTCTTATCAGAGTGCCCTTTTTTCAATCCTCTCCACTATTGACTACTTTTAGAATCCTGCTGATTGGTGTGTTTTACAGAGGCTGATTGGTGCATTTTACAAATTCCTTGTAGGACAGGAAAGTTCCCCAAGTCCGCACTCGACCCAGGAAGTGCAGCTGGCCTAACCTCTCACTGCCAGAGGCTAATTTCCATCCTGGTATTTCTCAGGCCCATAGATAGTGTGAATTCAAATCCAAACCAATATGTCTATTGACTTATACTTAGAAATTACCATTTTTTTTTTCTTTTTTCTTGTCTACCCTATTGAAACCAAGACAAGCATAGATTTTCACTTTCTTCTTATGGGAGTGGGATTTTCCTAGCCCCACTTAACATGCTTCTCTTTAGAAATCCTAGATTTATGCAGGAGGCATTTTAGCCTATATTCCTCCCTGCATGGGCATCAGTCTCTGTCTCCTGAATTAGGCGCTCATGGTTCTGGGCCAATAGTTCCTGGGAGACACCCCAGGGCAAATGCCAGATGAGACACTCACACCTCTGGATTCAAACTTTTTTTGCTCTTGTAGATATCTGAAAATTTGCCTTACTTTGACTCAGCCCATGCATTAAAGCAGATGCTTTTAAATATTTTATGATGCATGTTTTAGGAAAGAGTCTGTCTGGGTATTTCTTCTTTTGATTTGCATTTTGCTTTCAATTCTTCTTTCACACTATCCTAAGCATTAATCAACTCGTCGTTTATGTCAGTTAGTACAAAACTTCACTATCCTGTTCATTATCACCATTTCATTTTGTTCTGCATAGGCCAGACTATTTATCTAAAAATGTTTAAAGAAATCTAAGGCCTTAAAGGATTCTTTCTCAGGGACTCTACTGTTTGTATTTAGAGAAATGCTCATTTGTTCCACTGTTTTACTTTCTTCTTGGGTCACGCTCTTTGATGACTGCCATCTTACAGAGGATGACAAAAGAGGGCCCAGGCTGAGACAATGATACCTGCTTGCCCCTTTGGATTTTATTTTCTTAGTGTTCTCAAAATATTAATAAAATGTCAAAAACAAATTAATATCACCAGAATGTGTGCCTCACTTAAAATTTCTCTCTCTAACAAGTTTTTGTTTCCTAGTTCCTTTGGTACCCTAATGTTTAGGTAAATAGTCTCTGAGGAAAGGATGTGAAAGTCATAGCAAAATATATGCTGGACTTGAATGAAAAATATCTGTTTCATAAAAGTTAAGCAGGCAACCAAAATTTACCTTTTTTAACCTAAATTATCTAAACATGTATTTACATTTCTGCTTCATTAAAATATATTTGAGATTGAATGCTCCTGAGACAGATTTTGGAATACCCTCCCTTTCTAAAATATATTTTTTATTTTTTGTGGACTAAACAGTTATTTAAAAATGAACTTAATGATTGCTAATTAGTTATCTAAATACTTATTTAAAAATAAACTTAATGATTGCTAATTACTCAGTTATTTATAATGCATTTCAAAATTAACTTTATTGTCTAAACCTCTTAACACAAATGTATTAAATTATGTAACAGAGAATTGGCTATTTTTGTTCAAATATCTATTCTTGTCAGACTTAAAATATCACTCAGCTATATGATTAAAAATGAACTACAGTCATTAAATTATTTCCCACTTATTTGTGGCATTTCTCCATATTAGAGGAGACAAACAGTGCTCTTTGAATCTTTTTTTTTTTTTTGAGACGGAGTCTCGCTCTGTCGCCCAGGCCGGACTGCGGACTGCAGTGGCGCAATCTCGGCTCACTGCAAGCTCCGCTTCCCGGGTTCACGCCATTCTCCTGCCTCAGCCTCCCGACTAGCTGGGACTACAGGCGCCCGCCACCGCGCCCGGCTAATTTTTTGTATTTTTAGTAGAGACGGGGTTTCACCTTGTTAGACAGGATGGTCTCGATCTCCTGACCTCATGATTCACCCGCCTCGGCCTCCCAAAGTGCTGGGATTACAGGCGTGAGCCACCGCGCCCGGCCCAGTGCTCTTTGAATCGGATGACAGTTCTATTGATAATGGCCATCACAATCTAGTTACGCATTATTAATTAGGTCAAGGCATGAATAAAATTTCTCCCTTGTTTCCACTCAAAAACTACAAGTATAGTTCCTTGGTAAGATGCTCCAACCATGGCTGGGTGCGGTGGCTCAAGCCTGTAATCCCAGCACTTTGGGAGGCTGAGGCGGGCAGATCACGAAGTCAGGAGATTGAGACTATCCTGGCTAACACGGTGAAATTCTGTCTCTACTAAAAAATACAAACAATTAGCTGGGCATGGTGGTGTGCACATGTAGTGCCAGCTACTCGGGAGGCTGAGGCAGGAGAATGGTGAGAACCTGGGAGGTGGAGCTTGCAGTCAGCCGAGATCACGCCACTGCACTCCAGCCTGGGCAACACAGTGAGACTCCGTCTCAAAATAAATAAATAAAATAAAATAAAAAATAAAATAAAAAAAAGATGCTCCAACCATGATTGGTGATGCCAATCATAGAAGAAAAGAGAATATTGAGAAATAATAAGACAGCTACTTTAAACCATTCTGTGCCTGAACATTTTGATGGCAATATTGGTCATATTATAAATTTGAAAATATAAATGGTAATCTAAATTGACTTTAGTCTACCAGTGATTATGAGAGCTTTATCTAAGTGAAACACTTGCATTTTTATTTCTAACATTTTTCAGAAAATGTGAAACTCCGACCAAGTGCAGTGGCTCATGCCTGTAATCCCAGCTCGTTGGGAGGCCGAGGCAGGTGGATCACAAGGTCAAGAGATCGAGACCATCCTGTCCAATCTGGTGAAACCCCGTCTCTACTAAAAATACAAAAATTAGCTGGGCGTGGTGATGCGCACATGTAGTCCCAGCTACTCGGGAGCCTGAGGCAGGAGAATCGCTTGAACCCGGGAGGTGAAGGTTGCAGTGAGCCAAGATCGTGCCACTGCACTCCAGCCTGGGCAACAGAGCAAGACTCCATCTCAAAAAAAAAAAAAAAAAAAAAGAAGAAAAAGAAAATGTGAAGCTCCTTATTATTTTGTTTTAATTTTAAGAATTCCACTTCCTAGATAAGCAGAACATAGAGCCAAGTGCTATGTTCTGGTTGTTTTTAATGAGTATATTCTCCCCAATTTATTATTTATTAATGTCTAACTTCAATTAGATGAGTTGATTACTTTTCATACACCATTGACTAAAGGAAACCTAATTTTACACGTAATTCAAGGGGATCTGTAAGTAAGAACATTTTAAAATTAAACCAACACATGTGCATTGAAAATCATTCAAACAGTTTGATGGGCAAAAAACCAGTGAAAACCAGAAACTTTTTTTTTTCCTTCCATAGACCTTGGTCCTGTTTTTCAGAGTTAGGCAAGGTTTATCATTTTCTTTTTTTACTATATGCTATTCTCTTGAACTGTAAATAATATTATACAATCACCTAATTTTGTTTTAACAATTTTAAGTAATATCCCTTGACTTTTTATGAACGGTAGAGAATATAGCTCCTTTACCCTACTTTCTTCTTCTAAAACTATATTTCCAATTTAGTCTTTAATATATAATTTTATGGGATTTTTTAAAAATTTGCTTTCTCTAAATAATATACTTACAGTGCTTAATTCTTTGCTTAAATAATATACTGTTTAGATAATATATGGTCCATCCAATTTGAACACCACTGATTGGCTCAGTAGGATGTGGAGATTAGTGTACAACTTCCCTCCCCTCCAACAGTCCCTGTCATAGCTTTCGACTTGTATCAAATTTCGTTCTATGCTTATATTTTCACATTTTATGTAAATTACATCCTATTTTGTAATTATAATAAAGTCTGTGCTTTGTTCGTAGGTTAATTTTGATCATGGAATCTCAAGTGAATTGACAGCATCATTATTATGTTTTCTTTTTTTTTCAAACCACAGTCGCAGGTGGCGTGATTTGATTTGTGTGAAGGCAATGAAATGATACACAGATACACCGAAGCCTCCCAAAAGAATCCTGGTTCCAAGACTCAAGAAGATGGATTAATGTTTTTCCATTAATTGTTGGAATTTATGCCATTTTTTACTATGTGCCATCAATTTTAAAGCACTTCTGGAAAGACATAACAATCTAAATGAGATGGCATTTTAAATTCATAAAAATATAGTATTTTCCTCAACTTTTATACATTTATGATGCATTATTTCTTATTTCCCGGGAATTTTACTACCTTTGTTTTGAATGATTAAAAAGGAAACACAGCACTTTTTTCAGCACATCACCAAGATAGCCTAGTTAATATTCTTCTCTTTCTGAAGTAGTTGAATTGGGATAGACAGCTTGCCAGGCCTGCTGCCACGTGTCAGCATCGCATCCCTACATTCAGCCACACTTGCATCTAACGACCATCTCTTTCATTAGATTTCTTTTGCACCTTTTCTTCCTGAATGAGTGCATGATACTTAATTTTCCTGTGCACTTGCATGTCTCAAGAAGGTTTTAATTCTTTTTGTATTGCATTAATATTAAGTTAAGTTTATAATTGCAAAATGATTTATACTCAGAACATTGAAGACTCCTTTGTTTTGTTACATCCTGTCAAAATGATGAGAAGACAGATCATCCTTTAGGGAAAAATTGGTTTTGATTGGTGTCAGCCTTTCCAACAGCAATGCTGGAGACAAGAATAAAATGAAGTAATATTTTTCAAGGATTAAAAGGAAACCAATTTTAATCCTTGAATTATTTGCAGCCACAATCTTTTAAATATGAAAGCCCAGAAAAAGACATTAAAAAGTAAGGCCTCAAAAGTTTTATTTCAAATAAATCCCTTTGAAAATGCTTAGAGGTCATACTCCACTAAGAAGAGAAATACACCGTGGTGTTAGAATTGAGGGTTCCAGAATCAATGGTAGTGGTGTTTATCATACTCTAAAAAATAAATGAAAACATAACATATTGAAAACAACCCCAAGTAAACTTCAGAAAGCACCCCCTTAGACAAAGTGCTGTCGTAACAGAGAAAGCAAACCAGAGGTGGCAAGAGGAGGCTAGAGCACTTATCTTGTTTGCTGAGATGATATTAATTTTGACACATATCAGAAATTGAGAAAATTAACATAAATAATGATATAACCACCATTACAATCTTAAAAATTTCCAGATTTCAAACAAATAGAAAAAGATTTGATCTATAGAGTGAAAGGTACAATAGGAAAAAATAAACAGTAAAGAAAGTATGAAAAATCATAAAATGAGATGACAGAAATAACTCATAATGGAACAATAATTACATAAATCAAAGGTTAAGATTGTCAGGTAAAATTTTTAAGTGTCAAAAAAACACTCAATAAAACCTATCGAAAATAAATTAGTGTAAAAAATATAGCAGGAAAATATGAATAAAAAGAGCTAGGTCCAATTTTTGATAAAAATTTGAATTCAAGTTAATAATATCCTAAAGAAGGAAAAAATCTGTAGACCAATAGAGAGAAAGGAAAGGCGCATTCAGACAAAGAAAATGTGTACAGAACACACTAGGGATATCAGAAGAGGCTGCTCATGGCCAGGCATGGTGGCTCATACCTGTAATCCCAGCACTATGGGAGGCCAAGGTGGGTGGATCACCTGAGCTCAGGAGTTCAGGACCAGCCTGGGCAGCAAGGGAAACCCCATCTCTACCAAAAATACAAAAAAATTCGCTAGCCATAGTGGCACATGCCTGTGGTTCCCATTACATGGGAGGCTGAGGTGAGAGGATTGCTTGAGCCTGGGAGGCGGAGGTTACAGAGAGCCCAGATTTTGCCACTGCACTCCAGCCTGGGCAAGAATGTGAGACCCAGTCTCAAAGCAAAACAAAACAAAATGAAAAAGAAGCTGCTCAAGACCAGACTGAGCTCCTAGACCTTGAACTCCAGTCCCACCTCACACCCTAAGTTTCCTAAAGAATCAGTAACTTAGTTCACCCTACTGCACTCCTGACTTCTGGATGTAGCACAAGTTTCTAAACTTATGCAAACAGTGAGGACTATCTATTTTGACAAAATAAGAAATGGAGTCAAGGCAACATGTAAAAGATATTTTTGCCAGTTTTATTGATTAACAAAGAAAAATTGTATATAGTTAAGGTATGCAGTGTGTTATTTTGATATACATATACATTGTGAAGTGATGATTACCACAATCAAGCTAACATATTCATCACCTCACCTGGTTACCTTTTTATTTGTGTTTGTGTGGTGGAGAACACTTGAGATCTACTCTTTCAGCAAATTTCAAGTATACATTATTATTGACTTTAGTCACTATGCTGTACATTAGATCTCCAGAACTTATTCATCTTATAACTGAAAGTTTGTACTTTCTGACAAACATTTTTTCTTTTCCCCCAACTCCCAGGCCCTAGTAAGCACTATTTTACTCTGTTACCATGAGTTTGACATTTTCTTAGTATGCATATAAGTGAAATCATGCAGGATTTTTTTGCATCTGTTCCTGGCTTATTTTACTTACCATAATAAACTCCAGGTTTATCCATCTCGTTACAAATGGCAGTATTTCCTCATTTTTAAAGGCTAAATGATATTCCATTACATATGTGTGTGTGTCTGTGTGTGTGTGTGTGTGTGTAATACATTTAAAACATCCATTCATCTGTCAATGGACACAGGTAGTTTCCATACCTTGGCTGTGTAAATAACACTGTAATAAACATGTAAGTATATATATCTCTCTGAGATAGTGATTTTCTTTACTTTGGATATATACCCAGATGTGAGATTGCTGGATTATATGGGAGTTCCATTTTTAATTTTTTGAGGAAACTACATACTGTTGTCTGTAATGGCTGTACCAATTTACATTCCCATCAACTATCAACTAAGCACAAGGGTTTCTGTTTCTCAATATCCTCAGCAACATTTGTTACCTTTTTACTGTTATAAAAGCCATCCTAATAGATGCGAGGTGATATCTCATTGTGCATTTTCCTGCTGATTAGTGATGGCAAACATCTTTTTCTTAATATATACCTATTGTCAATCGTATGTCCTTTAGAAATGTATCTCTTCAGGTCTGATATGCTTTGGCTGCGTCCCCACCCAAATCGCATGTTGAATTGTAGCTCCCATAATTCCCATGTGTTATGGGAGGGACCCAGTAGGAGATAGTTGAATCATGGGAGCGGTTTTCCCCATACTGTTTTTGTGGTAGTAAATAAGCCTCACAAGATCCGATTGTTTTATAAGGGATTTCCTTTTTCACTTGGCTTTCATTCTGTCTTGCCTGCTGCTGTGTAATATGTGCCTTTAGCCTCCCACCATAAGTAAGGCCTCCCCAGCCTCATGGAACTGTGAGTCCATTAAACCTCTTTTTCTTTATAAATCACACAGTCTTTGGTATGCCTTTATCAGCAGCATGCAAACAGATGAATACAGTAAATTGGTACTGGTAGAGTGGGGTGCTGCTGTAAAGTTATCCAAAAATGTGGAACCAACTTCGGAACTGGGTAACAGGCAGGGGTTGGAACAGTTTGGAGGGCTCAGAAAAAGACAGAAAAATGTGAAAAAGTTTGGAACTCCCTAGAGATTTGTTGACTAGCTTTGACCAAAATGCTAATAATGATATGGACAATGAAATTCAGGCTGAGGTTGTCTCAGATAGTGATGAGGAACTTGTTGGGAACTGGAGTCAAGGAAAATCTTGCTATGTTTTAGCAAAGAGACTGGCAGCATTTTGCCCCTGCCCTGGAGATGTGTGGAACTTTGAACTTGAGGGAGATGATTTAGGGTAGCTGGCAGAATAAATTTCTAAGCAGCAAAGCACTCAAGAGGTGACTTGGGTGCTGTTAAAAGCATTCAGTTTTAAAAGGAAACAGCATAAAACTTTGGAAAATTTGCAGCCAAATGATGTGATAGAAAAGAAAAACGAATTTTCTGAGGAGAAATTCAAGCCGGCTGCAGAAATTTGCATAAGCAACAAGGACCCAAATGTTCATCACCAAGACAATGGGGAAAATATCTCCAGGACATGTCAGAGACCTTTGCAGCAGTCCCTCCCATTACAGGCCAAGAGGCCTAAAAGGAAAAAATGGTTTCCTGGGCTGGTTTCAGGGGCCCCCTGCTGTTTGCCACCTAGTGACTTGATGCCCTGCATCCCAGCTACTGTAGCCATGGCTAAAAGGGTCCAAGGTACAGCTTGGACTGTGGATTCAGGTGGTGCAAGCCCCAAACCTTGGCAGTTTCACATGGTGCTGAGCCTGTGGGTGCACAGAAGTCAAGAATTGAGGTTTGGGAATCTCTGCCTAGATTTCAGAGGATGTATGGAAACTCCTAGATGTCCAGAAAGAATTTTGCTGCAGAGGTGGTGCCCTAATGGAAAACCTCTGCTAGGACAGTGCAGAAGGGAAATATGGGGTTGAAGCCCCCACACAGAGTCCCCACTGAGGTACTGCCTACTGGAGCTGTGAGAAGAAGGCCACTGTCCTCCGGACCCCAGAATGGTACAGCCACCAAAAGCTTGATCATGCACACAGGAAGGCTACAGACAATGCCAGTCCATGAAAGCAACCAAGAGGGGGGCTATGTCCTGCAAAGCCACAGGGGTGGAGCTGCCCAAGGCCATGGGAGCCCACCTCTTGCATAAGTGTGACCTGGATGTGAGACATGGAGTCAAAGGAGTTCATTTTGGAGCTTTAAGATTTGACAGGCCTGCTGGATTTTGGACTTGGGGCCTGTAGCCCCTTTGTTTTGGCCAAATTCACCCATTTGGAACAGGTATGTTTACCTGCTCCCTGTACCTCCATTGTATCTGGAAAGTAACTAACTTGCTTTTAACTTTATGAGTTCATAGCTGGAAGGGACTTGCCTTGTCTCAGATAAGACTTTGGACTGTGGACTTTTGAGTTAATACTGAAATTAGTTAAGATGTTGAGGGACTGTTGGGAAGGCATAATTTGTTTTCAAATGTGAAGACATGAAATTTGGGAGGAGCTGGGGCAGAATGATATGATTCGGCTGTGTCCCTACCCAAATCTCCTCTTGAATTGTAGTTCCCATAATTCCCACATGTTGTGGGAGGGACCTGGTGGAAGACAATTGAATCATGGGGGCAGTTTCTCCCATACTGTTCCCGTGGTAGTAAATAAGTCTCATGAGATCTGATTGCTTTATAACGGGTTTCCCCTTTTGCTTGGCTTTCATCCTGTCTTGCTGGCTGTCATGTAAGACATGACTTTCACCTTCCACTGTGATTGTGAGGCCTCCCCAGCTACGTGGAACTGTGAATCCATTAAACCTCTTTTTTTTTTTGGAGATGGAGTCTGGCTCTGTCACCCAGGCTGGAGTGCAGTGGCGCGATCTCTGCTCACTGCAAGCTCCACCTCCAAGGTTCACGCCATTCTTCTGCCTCAGCCTCCCAAGTAGCTGGGACTACAGGCACCCACCACCACACCTGGCTAATTTTTTGTATTTTTAATAGAGACAGGATTTCACCATGTTAGCCAGGATGATCTCAATCTCCTGACCTCATGATCTGCCTGCCTCGGCCTCCCAAAGTGCTGGGATTACAGGCGTGAGCCACCGTGTCTGGCCAAACCTTTTTCTTTATAAATTACCCAGTCTCTGGTATGTCTTTATCAGCATCATGAAAACAGACTAATACAAGATCCTTTGGAATTGTCTGAGTTCCTAATTTATTTGGATATTAACTTCTTATCAGATGTATAGTGTGTAAATATTTTCTCCCATTCTTTAGGTTATCTTTTCATTGTATTGGTTGTCTCCTTTGCTGTGCTGAAGCTTTTAGTTTGATTTACTCCCATTTGTCTATTTTTGCTTTTGTTGTCTATACTTTTGGTATCAAATCTGAAAATTTATTACCAATACCAGTATCAAGGAGCTTTTCTCTGATATTTATATCTAAGAGTCTTACAATATTGGTCCTATGTTGAGGTCTTTCATCCATTTTGAGACAATTTTTGTATGTACAGTGAGATAAGGGTTCAGTTTCATTCTTCTGCATGTGGATATCCAGTTTTCCCAACACCATTTAATAAAGAGACTAAATTTTATCATTGTGTACTCTTGGCACCAATGCTAGAGATCAATTGATTGTAAAGTCATGGATTTATTTCTTTCTATGCTCTCTATTCTGTTCCCTTGGCCTACATGTCTGTTTTTATGCCAGTAGCATACTATTTTGATTACTATAGCTTTATAATTTAGTTTGGAATAAGGTAATGTGATGCTTCCACTTTTGTTTTTTCTGCTGAAGGATGTTTTGACTGGGGTCATTTGAGGTTGCATAAAAATTTTACAACTGCTTTTTTCCATTTCTTTGAAAAATGCCATTGAAATTTTGATGGGGTTGCATTATATCTATAGATCGCGCTGAGTAATAGGGATATGTATCTTCTTCAAATTCTTTCATCAGTGTTTTATAGTTTTTGGTATATACAAATTTTACTGTCTTATTTAAATTTCTTCCTAAGTAGTTAATTTTTTGATGCTATTGTAAATGAGATTGTGTTCTTTCAGACGGACTCTCACTCTGTCGCCCAGGCTGGAGTGCAGTGGTGTGATCTTGGCTCACTGCAAGCTCTGCCTCCCGGGTTCACGCCAATCTCCTGCCTCAGCCTCCCGCCACCACGCCCAGCTAATTTTTTCTATTTTTAGTAGAGACAGGGTTTCTCCGTGTTAGCCAAGATGGTCTCGATCTCTTGACCTTGTGATCTGCCCACCTCAGACTCCCAAAGTGCTGGGATTACAGGCGTGAGCCACTGTGCCCGGCCCGAGATTGTTTTGTTAATTTCTTTCTGGGATACTCAACTATTAGTATATAAAAACGTAACACGTTTTTTTTAATGTTAATTATGTGTTCTGCAAATTTGCTTGTTTCTTAATTTTAACAGTTTTTAATTGGAGCCTTTAGAATTTTCTCTATATGAGATCATGTCATCTTCAAATAGAGACACTTTCACTTCTTTTCCAGTTTGGATGCCTTTTATTTCTTTTTCTTACCTAATTGCTCTGGCTAGGACTTACAGACTTTTTCAGAAACCCCCCAAAATAATCTAAGGGAGTCCATTGTCACTAGACCTGCTTTATAAGAAATTCTAAAGGGAGTTCTTCAAACTGAAATGCAATAAGACTAATTAGCATCACAAAAACATATGTAGTTATAAAAAGTCACCAGTAAAAGTAACTATACAGTCAAATTCAAAATATTCCTAATACTGTAATGATGGAGTATAATCACTTTAACTTTTAAAAGGTTAAAAGACAAAAAATATTACAAATAAATATAACTACAAAATAAACAAAGAAATAAACGCTGACATCAAAAAAACATAAAAACTGGAGGGGAGTAAAGTGTAGGGTTTTGTATATGCTTGAAGTTAAGTTGTTATCAACTTAAAATAGACCATTATAACTATAATCATACATTTCTTAATGTGGATATGTTCTGAATAATGCCTCATTATGCAATTTTGTCATGGTGTGAATATCATAGAGTATACTTACACAAAATTAGATAATACCACCTACTACACACCCAGGCTATATGGTATAACCTATTGCTTCCAAGCTACAAATCTGTACAGCATTGTACTATACTGAATGCTATAGGCAACTATAATACAATGATAAGCATTTGTGTATCCAGATGTATCTAAACATATAAAAGATACAATAAAAATGTTATAACCTTATAGGGCCACCGTTGTATATGTGGCCCATCATTGACCAAAACATCCTTATGTGGCACATGAGAGCATATGATGTTTTATGGAAGCCTCAGGATAATCACAAAGACAAAACATGTAATAGTTACACAAATGAGAATTTTACCATATGTTTAAAAAAGAATTAATACAAAGACACAGAAAAGAATCAAAGTATACCACTACAGAAAATAATCAAAATAATCAAATCATGCACAGCAAGAGAGAAATAAAAGAACAAAGAAACTGCAAAATGCCTATCAATAGTTACTTTAAATGTCAGTGGACCAAATTAGAAAAGACACAGAGTGGCTGAATGGACAGTAAAACAATAACCAAATATATGCCACCTATAAGAGATTCACTTCACCTTTAGAGACACACATAGACTGAAAGGAAAGACAGGGAACAAAAAAAAAGAAAGAGTAGCTATTCTTACAACAAACAAAATAGACTTTAAGTCAAAAACTGTAACAAGAGGGAAAGAAAGTCATTATAGAATGATACAAGGGTCAATTCATCAAGAGGATATAATTACTACAAATATATATTCTCCCAACATTGGAACACCTAATTGTATAAAGCAAATATTAACAAATCTGAAGAGAGAAGTGACAACAATAATACAATAACAGTTGGGGACTTCCATAACCCACTTTCAACAATGGATTGATCACTCAGACAGATAATCAATAAGGAAACAGATGACTTGAACTACACTATAGATCAAATGGACCAGACATATACAGGACATTACTTTCCAAAACAGCAAAATACACATTATTCTTGAGCATACACAGTACATTCTCCTACACAGGTCATATATTGGGCCAGAAAACAAGTCTTAGCAAATTTAAGAAGATTGAAATCTTATCAAGTATTCTTTTTGACCACAGTGGCATGAAACTGAAAATTAAAAACAGAAGAAAACTTAGAAAAGTGACAAATATGTGGAAATCAACCAACACACTCCTGAACAACCAATAGATCAAAGAAAACATCAAAAAAGAAATAAAATATCTTGAGACAAACTAAAATGAAAGCACAACATACTAAAACTTATGAGATGAAGCAAAAGCAATTCTAACAGGGAAGTTTATACAGGTTAAGTGCTAAATGAAGAAAAAAGATCTCAAATAAACAATAAACCTCAAAGAAATAGAAAAGAAAAAAAAAATGAAGCCCAAAATTAGAAGAAGGAAGGAAATAACAAAGATGATAGCAGAAGTAAATGAAATACACTAGAAAAACAATAGAAAAGATCAATGAAACAAAAAGCTGATTTTTTGAAAACATAGGCCGGGCGCGGTGGCTCACGCCTGTAATCCCAGCACTTTGGGAGGCCGAGGCGGGCGGATCACGAGGTCAGGAGATCGAGACCATCCCGGCTAAAACGGTGAAACCCCGTCTCTACTAAAAAATACAAAAAATTAGCCGGGCGTAGTGGCGGGCGCCTGTAGTCCCAGCTACTTGGGAGGCTGAGGCAGGAGAATGGCGTGAACCCGGGAGGCGGAGCTTGCAGTGAGCCGAGATCCCGCCACTGCACTCCAGCCTGGGCGACAGAGCGAGACTCCGTCTCAAAAAAAAAAAAAAAAAAAAAAAAAGAAAACATAATGGCTGGGCGCGGTGGCTCATGCCTGTAATCCCAGCACTTTGGGAGGCGGGCAGATCACGAGGTCAGAGATCAAGACCATCCTGGCTAACATGGTGAAACCCCGCCTCTACTAAATATACAAAAAATTAGCAGAGCCGGGCAGCGTGCGCCTGTAGTCCCAGCTACTTGGGAGGCTGAGGCAGGGGAATGGCATGAACCCAGGAGGCAGAGCTTGCAGTGAGCGGAGATTGCGCCACTGCACTACAGCCTGGGAGACAGAGCCAGACTGAGTCTCAAAAAAATAAAATAAAATAAAATAAAAATAGTAAAAATTGACCAACCTTTCACTAGGCTAAGAAAAAAGAGAGAAGCCTCAAATAAATAAAATTAGAACAAAAAAGCAGATATTAAAATTGGTACCATAGAAACACAAAGGATAATAACAGTCTAAACAACTATGTGTCAACAAATTGTTTAACTTAGAAGAAATAGAGAAATTTCTAGAAACATACATCCCCTAAGATTGAAACATGAAGAAATAGAAAATCAACACAAATAATGAGTAAAAATAATGAGTCAGTGGTCAAAAAGCTCCTGAAAAAGGAAAATCCAAGACCAGATAGCTTAGTGGAGAAGTCTAGCAAATGTTTAAAGAAGAATTAGTACCATTTCTTCACAAACTCTTCCAAAAGTTGAAGAGGAGGGAATACAAACATTTTTTATGAGGCCAGCATTACCCTGATAACAAAGACAGAAAAGGATACTACAAGGTTGACAGATATTTTTAAGGTGCAAATGATGTATTGTTGGAATTGAAAATACAGGATTTGTTTGTACAAAGATTTGTGTGTGGATAGGTGGATGCGTACTGGTGTGTGCATGCATACATATACAAGCTTACCTTGTTTTATTGCACTTCACTTTATTATGCTTCTCGGATATTGCATTTTTTACAGGTTGAAGGTTTATGGCAACCCTGCATCAAGCAAGTCTACCAGTGCCACTTTTCTGGTAGCATGTGCTTATTTTGTATCTCTGTGTTACATTTTTGTAATTCTTGCAATATTTCAAATGTTTTGTTATTATTATATCTGTTACGGTAATCTGTGATCAGTGATTATTAATATTACTATTGTCATTGTTTTGGGGCATCACAAACCATGCTCCAAAAGACAATGAGCCTAATTGATACATATGTGTGTCTGAATGGTTCCATTGATCTGCCCTTCCTCCATCCCCCCAACTCCTCAGGTCTCCCTGTTTTCTGAGACACAGGAATATTGAAATTAGGCCAATTAATAACTCTACAAAGGCCTCTATGTGTTCAAGTGAAAGTAAGAGTCACACATCTCTTATTTAAATCAAAAGTGAGAAATGATTAAGGTGAGTGAGGAAGGCATGTTAAAAGCTGAAACAGGCCAAAAACTAGGCATCCTGCACCTAACAGCCAAACTGTGCATGAAAAGAAAAAGTTCTTGAAGGAAATTAAAAGTATTACTCCAATGAACACATGAGTGGTATGAAAGTGAAAGAGACTTATCGCTGATATGGAGAAGGTTTGAGTGGTTTGGATAGAAGATCAACCCAACCACAACATTTCCTTAAGCCAAACCCTAATCGAGAGCAAGGACCTAATTCTTCTTAATTCTCTGAAGGCTGAGAGAGGTTGGGAAGCCACAGAAAAAAAGTTTGAAGCTAGCAGAGATTGGTTCATGAGGTTTAAGGAAAGAAGTCTTCTCCATAAGATAAAACTGCAAGGAAAAGCAGCAAGTGCTGATGTAGAAGCTGCAGCAAGTCATCCATAAGATCAGCTAAGAGAAGCAACAAAGGTGGCTACACTAAACAAAGGTTTTTACTGCAGATAAAACAGCCTTATATTGGAAGAGGATGTCATCCAGGACTTTTACAGCCAGGTAGCAAAATAAATGCCTGACTTCAATGCTTCAAAGAACAGGATGACTCTTTTGTTAGGGGCTTAACCTGAAGCCAAAGCTCATCTACCATTCTGAAAATTCTAGGGCCCTTAAGAACTATGCTACATCTACTCTGCCTGTGCTCTATAAATGGGACAAAGCCTGAATGACATCACATCTGTTACGACATGAATATTTTAAGCTCACACCTGAGAACTACTGCTTTAAAAAAAGATCTCTTTCAAAATATTATTGTTCATTGACAATTTACCTGGTCACCCAAGAGCTCTGATGGAGAACTACAAGAAAATTAAAGCTGTTTGCATGCCTGCTAATACAACATCCATTCTGCAGCCCAGGGATCAATGAGTAATTTAGACTTTCAAGGCTGATTATCTGAGAAATACATTTCATAAGGCTGTAGCCACCATGTATAGTAGTTCCTTCGATAGATCTGGGCAAAGTAAGTTGAAAACCTTCTAGAAAGGTTTCACCATTCTAGAAGCATTTGCAATTCATGGGAGGAGGTTAAAATTAAGAACATTTGTGATTCATGGGAGGAGGTCAAAATATCAACATTAAAAGAAATTTGGAAGAAGTTGATTCCAATCCTCATGGATGACTTTGAGGGTTCAAGACTTCAGTGCAAGAAGTAACTGCAGACGTGGTGGAAATGGCAAGAGAACTAAGATTAAAAGATGTGAAGAGAACTTAAGATGTGGCTGAATTGCTGAAATCTCATGACAAAATTTTAACAAATGAGAACTTGGATGAGCAAAGAAAGTGGTTTCTTGAGATGGAAACTACTCCAGGTGTAGATGCTGTGAATCTTGTTGAAATGACAACAGAGTATTTAGAAAATTGCATAAACTTAGTGGATAAAGCAGTGGTAGGGTTTGAGAGGATTGTCTCCGATTTGAAGGAAGCTCTACTGTGGGTAAAATGCTATCAAACAGCATTGCATGCTACAGAGGAATCTTGAAAGAAATAGTCAACTGATGTAGCAAACTTCATTGTTGTCTTATTTTAAGAAATTGCCACAGCCACCTCACCTCCAGCAGCTTCCACCATGATGAGTCAGCAGCCACAACACTGAGGCAAGGCCACTGACCAGCAAAAAGATCATGATGTTGAAGACTCAGGTGATCGATAGCATTTTTAAACAGTAAAATAATTTTTGACTAAGGTATGTACATTGACTTTTTTAGACATAATGGTATTGCCCACTTAATAGACTACAGTATAGTATAGACCTAACTTTTATATGCACTGAGAAACCAAAAATTCTGTGTGATTTGCCTTATTGCCATATTTGTTTTATTGCAGAACTGGCCACCAGAATCTTCCCTTCCCCTAGAACGCCCTTCACCCAAGCCACCTGCATTTTCCCCTCACCCATCATACCCACCCCCATTGTCTGGCCTGCCCTCCACCTCCTCCAAAAGCCTTCATTGCTCCCCCACTGCTGGACTGCATTCTGACTCCGTCTCAATGTGACTCAATGGCACTTCCATTGGGCACTGCCCTAAAGAGCTCATCTCCACAGTGGCCTGAAACCAAACCCACAGTATCTCTGAGGTATGCCTATGTAGCAGTCCCATAAGTTATCGTGCACTTTAAGCATTACCAAGTCCAGAACTGTGAATGCTATACATTTACAGAAATACCACTTGAAGGTTTAACTACTTATAACTGTTTCATAATTAGAATTACAAATTTTGAATATTAATTATTTTAATTGGGGGGAGGGGCCAAGTTGGTTGAGTAGAAACAGCTCTACTCTGCAGCCCCCACTGAGACAAACATAAACAGCGAGTGAATTCTGCATTTCTAACTGAGGTATCCAGATTCCCTCATTGGGACTGACTAGGCAGTTGGTGTGACCCATGGAGAGCAAGGAAAAGCAGAGTTGGGCGACAGTTCACCCAAGAGCTACACAGGGCAAAGAGACCTCCCTCCTCCAGCCAAGGGAGGCAGTGAGGGATTGTGCTACCCAACCGGGGAACTGTGCTTTACCCACAGATTTTTGCAAACCCCAGAACAGGTAATCCCTTTGTGAGTCCACACCACCAGGGCCTTAGGTCCCAAGCACAAAGCTGTGCAGACCCATAGCAGGGGCTCCAGCTGGCAGCCACTTGGGCAGGTACTGAGCTGTAGGAGTTTCTGCGTACTCTGGTGGCTCGCAGAAATCCAGTGAAGCAGGAGATCCATCAACTCCCATGAGAAGAGGGCTGAAGCCAGGGAGCCAAGCAGACCCACTCCCACAGAACCCCACAAGCTAAGACCCACTGGCATGGAATCCCCACTGGCTAGCACAGCACCTGGAGTCTGCCTAAGAAGACCAAGTTCCTGGGGGGAAGGGTGACTGCCATTACTGCGGGTCTAGCCGGTGGTTTTCCCCCACCAGTGCTAGGGAGACTGGGTGGTTTGCGCTGGGCAGAATTCCCACAGTGCAGTACAGAGGCTGTGGCAGATATACCATTATTGTATATCCAAAGGAATATAAATCATTCTATTACAAAGATACATGCACGTGTATGTTTATTGCAGCACTGTTCCCAATAGCAAAGACATGGAATCAACCCAATGCCCACCAATGATAGACTGGATAAATAAAATGTGGTACATATACACCATGGAATACTATGCAGCCATAAAAAGGAATGAGATCAAGTCCTTTGCGGGGACATGGATGAAGCTGGAAGCCATTATCCTCAGCAAACTAACACAGGAACAGAAAACCAAATACCACATGTTCTCACTTACAAGTGGGAGCCGAACAATGAGAACATATGGACACTGGGAGGGAAACAACACACCCTGGCACCTGTCGAGGGAGGGCCGGTGGTAGGGAGAGCATCAGGAAAAATAGCTAATGCATGCTGGGTTTAATACCTAAGTGATGGGTTGATAGGTGCAGCAAATCACCATGGTACATATTTGCCTATGTAAGAAAACTGCATGTCCTGCACATGTATCCCGAAAGTTAAAATAAAATAAATACATAAGTACATAAAATTTTAAAAGACAAAAAAAAATCTTAATTGTATGTGGGTAGTTCCCTTTGATTGAAAGTGAGATAGAAATAATTTTTTAAAACTTACTATTCAAAATTTGCAAAACTAAATAAGAGTAAAAGAAATTTACATTTTGTCCCTGGATTGATACAAGACAAAAACATAGTGTGGGAAAGCTGGAGTTGAGGATGAATGAGATTCTGAGAATAAAAATCCCTGGTACATAGCCAAAATTTCAGAACTTCAGATTTTCAAGGGCTATAAAATAGGTAACCTCAAGCCACCGTCTCCAACAGATAAAAGGAACCAGGTAATATCTATATTCCAGGGAGAAAGAATAGAAAATTGGCTATCACTGACAAAACTTAGTGGGAAGGAGGGATCTAGAAGGTGGGATGGTGGAGGGATCCCCAGCTTGGGGGGTGGGGAGGGGCTGTGCTTCAGTCTCCCCCTCCCCTGCCCCTCTCCCTCCTCCTCCCCCTCCTGCTGCACCTCCCCCTCCCTATGCGCCTCCCCAACAAAGGAGCCCTTTGTGACATCAAGGCCCCACCTCTGTGACGCAGGCCTGGGCCCCAGTCCCTAGTCCCCACGGGGATGCCCAGAGCTCAGTTGCTTGAAAGCAACGCGCCTATTCACATGGAGAATCTTCCCTTTCCTTTAAAATTACTTAGTGCCTCATCGCTAAACGCCCCCAGTTCCACACCATGGGTGTTGGATATCTTCCTCACTTTGGTGTTTGCCCTGGGGTTCTTCTTCCTATTACTCCCCTACTTATCTTACTTCCGTTGTGATGACCCACCCTCACCATCGCCTGGGAAGAGAAAGGTAAGGAACCCTCAGTCCCAACCCACAGAGCTTGATTCTCTCCTTTCTTTTTATTATTAGTTCCACTTTTCCAAATCCAGTGGAGAGCCTTCTATGATGGGAAGTCTCAGAAGAGACCAGAACATCATCCTTCCAGGGAGAGGCAGGGCAGCCAGGGGTTGGTAGGGGTAGATAGTGTACTGGGATTTCCATCCCAAGCTCTCAGTCCATCTGTGGGGGAGCACAGGAGGCATCAAGGCAAAATCAAACCAGTGGACTCAGCACCAGTACCAGTCATGAGACTGGGGAGGTCTCTGTCCGAGACCAGGCCCTGAGCCCTGGCTCATCAGCCCCTTTCTGGTGCAGGTGGCTCAGGGCCCAGCCTCCCCTGTGTGGGGTGATCTGGGGCCTGTGCTGGGCCCCTGAGGGCCTCCCACCAGGGCCTGGTGTCTCCTCTGGTCTCCTGGGAAGCAGAATCCTACCTGATAGCTCAGCAGTGCCTGCGGGCCTGAACTTGGGTGTTCCTGGAGCAGAGGAACAGGGACTGAAGGTGTCCGTGGTGGACCTCATATTGAAAATCCCTCTGTGTGTGTGTGTGTGTGTGTGTGTGTGTGTATTTTTATTTTATTTGTGTGTGTTATTTTCATTTTATTTTATTTTATTTTATTTTATTTTATTTTATTTTATTTTATTTTATTTTATTTTATTTTTTGAGATGGAGTCTCGCTCTGTGGTGCAGGTTGCAGTGAAATGGAGTGATATCGGCTCACTGCAACCTCTGCTTCCTGAGTTCAAGCGATTCTCCTGTCTTAGAGTCCTGAATAGCTGGGGATTACAGGCGCCCACCACCATGCCTGCCTAATTTTTGTATTTTTAGTAGACACGGGGTTTCACCATGGCCAGGCTGGTCTCAAACTCCTGACCTCAGGTGATCAACCCACCTTGGCCTCCCAAAGTGCTTGGATTATAGGCGTGAGCCACCACGCCCAGCCCCCTCTTGCTGTTTTTCTAAGAAGAAAAGCAGTTTATCATCCATTTAAACAAGAGTGGGAGGAAGCACACAGAGCTCCCTGAGCAAGACAGAGAGAGCCATGCGGTTCCTGAGTGCAGCATGCTGCGGCTGGGCTGGGGCAGAGAGGGAGAGCCGGTCCTAGCTTCTCACCCTTTCTTGTCTCCCATTGTCATCTTGTCTCTCCGCGTCATCTTGTCTCCGTACGTCATCGTGTCTCCCAGTGTCCAGTAGGGCGGAGGCGGAGGCCCAGAGGCAGGATGAAAAACCACAGTCTGAGAGGTAAGGCTCTGCCAGAGCACACTAGAGTTAATTTGATCTCATCTGTCCCGGAGGGAACTGACTCTGAAGAAGTCAGTTGAAGAAGCCTGAGGTGGGGGCTCCTAGGAAGGAAATCAGAACCCCGGGTCCTTCTCAGATTCCATGCGGGAATGAAGCCATGGTGGGCCAGGGACTGGGCGTTACCCAGCAGGGGGCAGTGTGTGTGTCCTGGGGAGACCAATGCCTGCCTGGATGCGGAGGGGGGTGAGGGGGCCTCCCGCTCCCTGGGAACAGCAGTCCAACTCTGCTAAGGCTGATTCCTCTTTGAGACCACCTCAGTCCTTTCTCCCCACAGGGCAGTTGTGAGGACTGTGGGGGTGGGGGGTCCGTGTGTGGAAGCCCTTTGTGAATGAAAAAGCCCTGTCCTCCATGCATTGCTATTAACGTCGGGGTCATGTGGCTTTGGACACAGATGGGTGGGGCCCAGGGTCTAATTCCCCATGGTCCTCCCTAAAGAAACAGCCACTCAGCCTCCTGTGAGAACCCAGGCCCCTCCCTCACTGCCCTAACCCAGTCTCCTGATTTCCAGCTGGTAGAGAGTGCCCGAGAGGCCTGCAGGAGACTTCGGACCTGCTTTCACAACTGCAGAGGTGAGGCACTTCCCCTTCCCTGCATCCTTCCTACCAGGGCTGGGACGTGACCCCAGGGCCACAGGCAGCCTGGAGCTGACCTGGGATGGGGAGACCAGGGGTACAGAGGATGGGAGTAAAACCCTGGGGCGAGGGGTAGCAGGAGAACTGGGCAATCAGGGTGTGGGGTGGTGGAGGGGCTGTGGCCCGAGCACCCACTCTGCCCTCCGGCCCCACCGGCTCCTGGCTGCAGCTCGTGTCTCCTGTCTCCTGCAGCCTCCTGGGGCCACACCTTGACAAAGGTGACTTTGGTCAGCTCTCCGGTCCAGACCCCCCAGGTGAAGTGGGCGAAAGAGCACCTGATGGAGCCTCCCAGTCCTCTCATGAGCCTATGGAAGATGCTGCTCCCATTCTCTCCCCGTTAGCTTCCCCGGATCCTCAAGCCAAGCATCCTCAGGATCTGGCCTCCACCCCATCACCAGGCCCAATGACCACCTCAGTCTCCTCCCTAAGTGCCTCCCAGCCACCAGAACCTTCCCTTCCCCTAGAACACCCCTCACCCGAGCCACCTGCACTTTTCCCTCACCCACCACACACCCCTGATCCTCTGGCCTGCTCTCCGCCTCCTCCAAAAGGCTTCACTGCTCCTCCCCTGCGGGACTCCACACTGATAACTCCATCTCACTGTGACTCAGTGGCACTTCCACTGGGCACCGTCCCTCAAAGCTTGTCTCCACATGAGGATTTGGTGGCTTCTGTCCCAGCCATCTCAGGCCTTGGTGGCTCAAACAGTCATGTTTCTGCCTCCTCCCGGTGGCAGGAGACTGCCAGAACCTCGTGCGCCTTTAACTCATCAGTCCAGCAAGATCATCTTTCCCGCCACCCACCAGAGACCTACCAGATGGAAGCTGGTAGCCTGTTTTTGCTCAGCTCTGATGGCCAGAATGCCGTGGGGATACAAGTCACAGAAACAGCCAAGGTCAACATTTGGGAAGAAAAAGAAAATGTTGGATCATTTACAGATCGAATGACCCCAGAAAAGCACTTAAATTCTTTGCGGAATTTGGCTAAATCATTGGATGCTGAGCAGGACACCACAAACCCAAAACCCTTCTGGAACATGGGAGAGAACTCGAAACAGCTGCCCGGACCTCAGAAGCTCTCAGATCCTAGGCTCTGGCAGGAAAGTTTTTGGAAGAATTATAGCCAGCTTTTCTGGGGCCTCCCCTCTCTGCACAGCGAGTCCCTGGTGGCTAACGCCTGGGTAACTGACAGGTCTTATACTTTACAGTCTCCTCCTTTCTTGTTCAATGAAATGTCCAATGTCTGCCCAATTCAAAGGGAGACTACAATGTCCCCACTGCTTTTCCAGGCCCAGCCCCCGTCCCATCTGGGGCCCGAGTGCCAACCCTTTATTTCATCCACACCCCAATTCCGGCCCACACCTATGGCTCAGGCCGAGGCTCAGGCCCATCTTCAATCTTCTTTCCCAGTCCTATCTCCTGCTTTTCCATCCCTGATTAAGAACACTGGAGTAGCTTGCCCTGCATCGCAGAATAAAGTGCAAGCTCTCTCCCTACCTGAAACTCAGCACCCTGAATGGCCTTTGTTGAGGAGACAACTAGAAGGTAGGTTGGCTTTACCCTCTAGGGTCCAAAAATCTCAGGACGTCTTTAGTGTCTCCACTCCTAACCTTCCCCAGGAAAGTTTGACATCCATTCTGCCTGAGAACTTTCCAGTCAGTCCTGAACTCCGGAGACAACTGGAGCAACACATAAAAAAGTGGATCATCCAACACTGGGGCAACCTGGGAAGGATCCAAGAGTCTCTGGATCTGATGCAGCTTCGGGACGAATCACCAGGGACAAGTCAGGCCAAGGGCAAACCCAGTCCCTGGCAGTCCTCCATGTCCACAGGTGAAAGCAGCAAGGAGGCACAGAAGGTGAAGTTCCAGCTAGAGAGGGACCCGTGCCCACATCTGGGGCAAATTCTGGGTGAGACCCCACAAAATCTATCCAGGGACATGAAAAGCTTCCCACGGAAGGTTCTGGGGGTGACTTCTGAGGAGTCGGAAAGGAACTTGAGGAAGCCCTTGAGGAGTGACTCGGGAAGTGATTTATTAAGATGCACAGAGAGGACTCATATAGAAAACATCCTGAAAGCCCACATGGGCAGGAACTTGGGCCAGACCAACGAGGGCTTGATCCCCGTGCGTGTGCGTCGATCCTGGCTTGCTGTCAACCAGGCTCTTCCCGTGTCCAACACCCATGTGAAAACCAGCAATCTAGCAGCCCCGAAAAGTGGGAAAGCCTGTGTGAACACAGCCCAGGTGCTTTCCTTCCTCGAGCCGTGTACTCAGCAGGGGTTGGGAGCCCATATTGTGAGGTTTTGGGCCAAACACAGGTGGGGTCTACCCCTCAGGGTCCTCAAGCCCATTCAGTGCTTTAAACTGGAAAAGGTTTCATCCTTGTCCCTTACACAGCTTGCTGGTCCCTCCTCAGCCACCTGTGAATCTGGGGCTGGCTCAGAAGTTGAGGTGGACATGTTCCTTAGAAAGCCACCAATGGCAAGTCTGAGAAAGCAGGTGCTGACCAAAGCATCTGATCACATGCCAGAGAGTCTTCTGGCCTCCTCACCTGCATGGAAGCAGTTCCAGAGGGCACCGCGAGGAATCCCATCTTGGAATGATCATGGGCCCTTGAAGCCTCCTCCAGCTGGACAGGAGGGCAGGTGGCCATCTAAGCCCCTCACGTACAGCCTCACAGGCAGCACCCAGCAGAGCAGGAGCTTAGGAGCCCAATCTTCAAAGGCTGGAGAGACAAGGGAGGCAGTGCCACAATGCAGAGTCCCCTTGGAAACCTGTATGCTGGCAAACCTCCAAGCCACAAGTGAGGATATGCATGGTTTCGAGGCTCCAGGGACCAGCAAAAGCTCTCTACACCCTAGAGTGTCTGTCTCCCAAGATCCAAGAAAGCTGTGTCTTATGGAGGAGGTTGTTAATGAATTTGAGCCTGGAATGGCCACAAAGTCAGAGACCCAGCCTCAAGTTTGTGCCGCTGTTGTGCTCCTTCCAGATGGGCAAGCATCTGTTGTGCCCCACGCTTCAGAGAATTTGGTTTCTCAAGTGCCCCAGGGCCATCTCCAGAGCATGCCTGCTGGGAACATGCGGGCTTCCCAGGAGCTACATGACCTTATGGCAGCCAGAAGGAGCAAACTGGTGCACGAGGAGCCCAGAAACCCAAACTGTCAAGGCTCATGCAAGAACCAAAGGCCAATGTTTCCCCCTATTCACAAGAGTGAGAAGTCTAGGAAGCCCAACTTAGAAAAACATGAAGAAAGGCTTGAAGGATTGAGGACTCCTCAACTTACCCCAGTCAGGAAAACAGAAGACACCCATCAGGATGAAGGCGTCCAGCTACTGCCATCAAAGAAACAGCCTCCTTCAGTAAGCCACTTTGGAGGAAACATCAAGCAATTTTTTCAGTGGATTTTTTCAAAGAAAAAAAGCAAGCCAGCACCAGTCACTGCTGAGAGCCAAAAAACAGTGAAAAACAGATCATGTGTGTACAGCAGCAGTGCTGAAGCTCAGGGTCTCATGACGGCAGTTGGACAAATGCTGGACGAGAAAATGTCACTTTGCCATGCGCGCCATGCCTCGAAGGTAAATCAGCACAAACAGAAGTTTCAAGCCCCAGTCTGTGGGTTTCCCTGCAACCACAGGCACCTCTTCTACTCAGAACACGGCAGAATACTGAGCTATGCAGCCAGCAGTCAACAAGCCACTCTCAAGAGCCAGGGTTGTCCCAACAGAGACAGGCAAATCAGAAATCAACAGCCCTTGAAAAGTGTGCGGTGCAACAATGAGCAATGGGGCCTGCGACATCCCCAAATCTTGCACCCCAAGAAAGCTGTATCCCCAGTCAGTCCCCTTCAGCACTGGCCGAAGACATCCGGTGCCTCTAGCCACCATCACCACTGTCCAAGGCACTGTCTTCTTTGGGAAGGTATCTGATTTGGTCAGTCACAAATTCTTTTTTAGCCTTCCCTGGAGAAAAAGAAGTCCCCAAGAAAAAATTCACTCTATGTAGAGAAAAAATATTTTCTCTCATGTTAGTACATGCAGAACATTTAATATACCACAATATATATGGTTTTTTATTCATAAGAGGGTGATGGCTTTTATTTGTGCCATGCTTGGTGTGGGCTTGGTTTCCAGAAGCGACAGGACATGGAGGGATGTTGACAGTGGTGCTGTAAGCCCACCTTCATCCTGAGTTCCTTCACTGAACCTTATGTTTCCGTAATACCGTCTTTACACAAACAACAAAAAATTCTAAAAACAAGATGAGAAAAACCTATGAAGGTCCCACTCTGAAATAAGGTTCAACCCATCTTTCCACTACTTACTCTACCTCAAACTTCATGCAGCTGTAGGGAGAAGGTTTGCAGAGATGTCACGGGACTGAACATCTCCATGCAGGCTCCAGGAAGTGCCACAGCCGAGTACCTTCATGTGTCACAAAATAGTGGAAGTTTGGGTGGGAGAGTGCTGGGCCCTGAGTTTAGAAGTGGGAGAAGTCTTGACCCTGGGTATCCTGGTGGAGAATAGATAACGTCTGCCCCTGGGAAGCCCCTTCTCTCCCTGACAAAGGCTGGGATGGAGATGGGCTCTCTTAGCTCAGCCAACATGCAAAGCAGAGAGTCCGCATCCCACTGCCTCTCCCTTTCTCGCACTCTGGAGTGGCAGTGGGGACAGACCTTCCAGCTCTGTGCATGTGTAGGTGGGGGCTAGGGGGTCAGGGGGGCAGCCTTTATGGAGGTTGCTGAGGGCCGTGAACTCCCCTGCCCCAGATGAGTGAATGACCCTGCTCCTGGGTCACCGGCCTTTGTCTATCTCACCTACATGTCTCTCAGCTTCAGCGAAGTAGTTCTGGGTGAATGGAGTAGGGTATGCCTGTGTGTGCAGAGGCTTCTGATGGTGGGACTCTGTAGAGCTACAGGGGATGCAGACAGAGAATTGAAAAGGAGGCAAAGTGGCGTGTGTGAGGGAGCCATCAGTGGTGCCGTGAGCCAGGAGACTCTGACATTCCAACCCCTTAGACAGGCCTAGAGGGGCCTAGTGTCTCATCCTGGCCACACCCCAGGGTCTGTCTCTGCTCCAGCTCCCAGATCACAGACCCCTAGAAAAACCACATTTACCCCCAACACGGAGGGCCATATTAGTGAGAAGGCAAAGTGAATAAGGAAGATGAATTTCTTAACATCTTCAATAAGCTTGCACATAATAATCTATTGAACTTTTTTTTTTTTTTTGAGACAGAGTTTCACTGTTTTGCCCAGGCTGGAGGGAAGTAGTGCAATCTTGGCTCACTGCAAACTCCGGCCCCTGGGTTCAAGTGATTCTTCTGCCTCAGCCTCCCAAGTGGCTGAGATGATAGGCACCCACCACCATGCCCGACTAATTTTTATATTTTTAGTAGAGACGGGGTTTTGCTATGTTGGCCAGGCTGGCCTCGAACTCCTCGCCTCAGGTGATCTACCGGCCTCAGCCTCCCAAAGAGCTAGGATTACAGGCATGAGCCATGGTGCCTGGCCTACCTATTGAATTTTTTAAAGGATGTGTTGACAATAGGTGGAAAAGCAAGGACTAGAGAACCCCAGGCATGAGTCGAAGTCTGGTGACCTTTAATATACACGTAGCCCCAGGACTGCTCCCTGGGGAAAGGTGGCGACTTACAAGGGCCCAGCAGCTGAGCTGGGGTCACACAGCAAATCTCCCCTGGCTCCTGACATCCTTGCTTGTTCCAGAGACCAGCAAGGGAAGATGCAGGCAGGCAGGATTTGAACATACAAGGGAGCTGGAAGTGACCTGTCCAGAATGGGCAGGGTATGGGCAGGACAGGAGCCATCCCTGCTGTCTCCCTCTGCTTTCAGCACAGCTTTCCTCCTCTCTGGGCCCTGTCCATATGGGAAAGCAGGAGGTCTCCACAAATCATGGACAGGAGGAGCCAGGTCTCTAGAGGGAGTTTTCTCTGCCTTGTGCCACATACAGGCGTGCAAGAGGCCCACTTCCGGGGGCCTCATTTCAATGGTGGAGAGGCCAGTGCCAGGCAGTGCCACTGATCTAGATGACAATGGAAATGGCCCTGCCCCCAACATGTGGGACTGGCCGGCACTGGGGTGCAGGGGGCAGTGGGCACAGTCCCCAGCTTGTGGCTTCTCCTGGGGCCAGGTCCTCTCTGGGGCCCGGATAACTGAAGCAGCCTCCAAGGTGGGCCCAGCGGTGACAGCGGAGCCAGGATCAGCAGGAGGAGCTGGGACCTGGAGCAGAGAGCAGCCCCGGTCCTCCGGGAGCTCAGGAGAGTGTGGCACAGAGCTGGGACCCTGACCACTGAGGATGGGCCATGCCTGGCTGCTGCTGGGTTCCCTCAGGAAACCAAGATGCGAGTTCTGGGATGTGGAGGAGCTGGACGTGGAGCCCATGGCTCAGGCCAGGAGAAGCGCCACAGGCAACACTGAGAGACCAGCAAGAACACAGGAAACAACAACCCCTTAGCCCTTCTGCAGCTCAGTCTCCCATGACATGCAGCGAGGCCAGCAATGGAGAGACCCACGGAGACCTCCCACAGGAACCTCACAGAGATATCTCGTACAGAGTGAGCACACGGGGACCTCTCACTGCCACAGAGAGAGACACACTGCAGCCTCCACAGAGACCCCACGGAGCTCTCAGAGTCCTCATGGTGCCCCACAGAGACCTAGCACAGAGATTCCCAGAGTCCTCACCCAGAGAACCCCACAGAGGCCATGCTGAGAGACTTCACTCAGTCCCACAGAGACCTCCCGCAAATGTCAGAGACCTTCCATGGTTCTCACAGGGAGATCTCACACAGAGACCCCACAAAGACCTCAGAGACTTCACACAGAGTCATAAAACAGGGACCTCATGCAGAGACTCATGCAGCTCACTGCAACCTCCGGCCTCCAGCCCCAGAAATGGCACACGGCACCCCCCACTGCCTCACAGAGACCTCTCTCAGAGTCCTCCTCACACAGAGACCTTGCCTGGAGACCTCCCACTCTCCACAGAGACCTTGTATAGATTCCTCACACAGGCCTCAGGTTGCTCCACACTCATTGCCCAGAAACCTCTCACATAGAATTCCCTCAAACATTCCACACAGAGATTCTGTAGGGCTTTCACAGGGTCCTCACACAGGGTCCTCACACAGGGACTTCATATAGTCCATGGTCCCTCACACAGAGACCTAGCACGGAGATTTCACACAGGGACTTCCCACAGAGACCCCACAGAGACCTCTGGAAGATACCTCCCACACAGACCTTCTGCAAAGGCCTCATACAGAGGCCTCACAAGAGGCAATGGAGCCCTCTTGCTGCCCCATGGAGTCCTCCCACAGAGACCTCATGTGGCCTCACAGGCCTCGTACAGAAACTGACTCGGATTTCTTAGAGACTTTCCACACAGAACTCACGCAGAAACCTCAAACTGAGGCTCCACAGAGACCTCACTCAGAGTTCTCACCAGGAGCCTGGCACTGAGGCCTCCCATGCAGCGCTCACACAGCGTCCTCACCATAGGTGAGATGCCCCTCACAGATACTCCTCAGAGACCTGGCCCAGAGGCTTCACAGAGACCTCACATCCATCCATTCTTTAGGGGCCTGAGCAGCCACCTGTTGACACGTCCTTCTCAGTGGATATAAAACCACTCAGCACAGTAGCAGCACAGCCGGGATATCAGTTGCACTCCCCACATTGCAGTGAAGGCGGTTTTCTGCTTGGGGACATCCTCACACTTTTTTTTTTTTTTTTGTAATAGCGCTGCCTCTGAAAAGAATTATGGATTCCACAGGCAGACCTGCAAAATTCTTTCTTCCACAGGTTTCCATTAGCTTGAATTCTGACCCACAATTTAGAAAATTCATTTTTTTAAATTATTTTTTGAGATGGAGTCTTGCTCTGTCGCCCAGGCTGGAGTCCAGTGGGATAATCTTGGCTCACTGCAACCTCCGCCTCTGGAGTTCAAGAGATTCTCCTGCTTCAGCCTCCTGAGTAGCTGGGATTATAGGTGTGCACTACCATGTTCGGCTAATTTTTGTATTTTTAGTAGAGACAGGGTTTCACCATGTTGGCCAGCTGGACTCGAACTCCTGACCTCAGGTGATCCACCCGCCTCGGCCTCCCAAAGTGCTGAGATTATAGGCATGAGCCACTGTGCCCAACCAAAAATTTTTAAGTGAAGAAAATGTTACCAACCTTCAATGAAAGAAAATATCTTATTTGTTCAGTTTGTTATTATCCAGCCAAATTACATCAATGTCATATATTTTTTAAAGTTTGGGGGAGACAAGACTTGAATTTGAGATGCCTGACTTCTGTACTTTGAAAATATGATAAAAACCTCTAGAAAATGAACCCCAGAAATGAAACAAACCAGCAAAGAGGCATCTGGACTCACACTGGTCTCCCAGGGGACTGTGCAACTAGCACATAATTTCATACAGAACAGCTTGGATCACGTTTGCAGAGTTCATTTTATTTTTAGCAAGCTAATAATCATGCAAAGATTTTTCACAAATAGGTCAAATCTCTAGCAATATTCTTATTGTATCACTTGGAAAAATTATACTTCTTAATAATATTATTT
Source organism: Homo sapiens (assembly GCF_000001405.40). Classification (NCBI taxonomy): domain Eukaryota; kingdom Metazoa; phylum Chordata; class Mammalia; order Primates; family Hominidae; genus Homo; species Homo sapiens. The sequence goes on from NC_000009.12 coordinate 39,366,469, forward strand.
TATTCCTTAAAATGCAGTAATGCCCTCAAATAGTAGTATGACACATGTTTGTCAGACATGACTTAGTCCTAATGTTCCACAAACATAGCTTAAGCAGATGGGCAATTTAAAAGGATTTATTTTTTAAACAGTTCTATGAAACACGCATTCTCTAAGATGGGCAGTAGGGATCCATTTTATATTCATTACAGGGCTAAAAAAGGAATGTTTTGAAATCTTACAAAACAAATTAATCTATGCTTGAGATATATACATAGCCTAATAAAATGTATTGAGGAAGGGACACGTTAACATTTGAGTGGAAGAAGGTATACATTTAATCAGCATTTGTACAATAAAAATGAATTATGAATGGCCTCACTAATTATATACGCAGCACTTTCCAAAGGGTGCACTCTGGTAAGACTACTTACTTCTCATTGCTCATAAGCAAACTGTTGTCCTTGCCTTGGTAAAATCTATTTTAACAATAGCTGTTAAAGCATATCACTAGATTATCCAACGGGATGACAGGGTCACAGTCTTTTCTCTAAGAGAGGCATAGCTGACATCAAGGCTCTTTTAGCCTATTTGTTTCAACAAGAAATCCCCTTTCTATATTCATCATAATTAAAAAATTTTAACTTAATTTTTCCACTTCCTTATAATGTCACTGCATCGTAAAATAATGGAATCGACATGGATCTTCAGATTATACATATGCATATATATATAGTTTTGTTTTTGTTGTTTTTTTTTTTTTTTTTTTGAGACAGAGTCTTGCTCTGTCACCCAGGCTGGAGTGCAGTGGCGTGATCTTGGCTCACTGCAAGCTCAGCCTCCTGGGTTCACACCGTTCTCCTGCCTCAGCCTCCTGAATAGCTGGGACTACAGGCGCCAGCAACCATGACTGGCTAATTTTTTTGTATTTTTTTTTTTTAGTAGAGAGAGGGTTTCACTGTGTTAGCCCGGATGGTCTGGATCTCTTGACCACGTGATCCACCCTCCTCGGCCTCCCAAAGTGCTGGGATTACAGGCATGGGCCACCGCGCTTGGCCTATAGTTTTTTTCAACAGCGCAACTTAAATAAGTTTAGTTATCAGAACAAAATAGAGTCAATTAGAAAAAAAAATTCATACAGAAAAATATACTTTTCAAGTTGACTGTTTTAACAGAGTTAAAATAAGTGATTATACTTCAGTCATTTGATTTGAATTTGCTCAGAGTGGCCAGAAAATCTAGAAACATAGAAAATGTCCATACTAAATAGTTGATTGCTATGACACGTTGAATGTGCTGTTCCTCAATAGTAATTCATAGTTCAGTAATCTACACAAAATTGCAATGAACAATGTGCATTAAAGCAACATTTCCATCAATCAGTGTATATTCATCTGCCATATATTGCCTCAGATGATTTGAGTGTCTAATTTCACAGAATAAATTTGAGCCTTTACCCCAGAAGAAATAATCAACGGGGCTCAATCTATTAAAAAGATATTGACAATATTTCCAGGCTCTATTAACATCTATATTTTATTTTTAATTAGATTCACCTAATTCAAAGCTTGTAAATATTTTTACCATTTATATGTGCCCAGATGAAATGGATATCAATAATTAGATAATGGAGAAAACAACAAACACAGATCTTCTTTGTTGTTAAAATATTTTACGTCAGAGCACTTTGCTAGAAATAAAGTAATTTTTAATCTCCAGGCAAAAGACTGTCTAAATGACTTTCAGAATGTATTACAAATTTAGATTTAGAATAGATTTATGTTTAAAACAGGCCTCATACTGCTTTCAACAAATCGGGCACTACAGAACAGAATGTGGGGAGGGTGACAGTGATGTGATGACTTCTTAACACTGAGCAAAGAAGCAAAAAACAAGTTGTCTTTCTACAATGTTGATCCCTAAGAGTGATTTCCCTTTATAGATTGCAATATAATTCTAGTTGCATTGTTATTATTTTACAAAGAACTCCCACAGAAAAAACTTTCTGGAGGTTTTCCCCTATATACACACCTACATTCTCTGCCATGCTCACACCGTTGGCAAAGTATGGTGCATCCAGCCACAGACCACCAAGGGGCTTGATAATTGCCTCCTCCATATACCTTCTGAGGTCGGTCAGGTTTATAACCATTCGTGTAACACAATTCATCCTTATAACTGGGCCTATGGCCTTGTGGCTTGTCACCTTTTCCAAGCAGGTGCTTGTCATCTTGGTTGCTCAGAGGTTTGCTGTGGCATCTTCCCTCACCTGAGGCCGGGCTGGCCTCCACCATGTTGCAACCAGAAGAGCCCACTTCCGTGGGGACAGAGCTTCTGTGCTCTCCACAGCCACGTCACGCTGCCGCTGTGCAAATGATGCCAACTGTAAATCCCAGAAAACTGCAAAATAATGCTGCGCCAGGCACAGTTGGTGAGGATTTAGAGGATGCTAACGTCTTTCCTAAGAAACGTGGGTGACATCGGCCAGGCACGGTGGCTCACGCCTGTAATCTCAGCACCTTGGGAGGTCGAGGCGGGCAGATCACGAGATCAGGGGATCGAGACCATCCTGGCTAACACGGTGAAACCCCCTCTCTACTAAAAATACAAAAAAATTAGCCGGACATGGTGGGGGCGCCTGTGGTCCCAGCTACTCGGGAGCCTGAGGCAGGAGAATGACGTGACCCCAGGAGGCGGAGCTGGCAGTGAGCCGAGATCGCGCCACTGCACTCCAGCCTGGGAGACAGAGCGAGACTGCGAGACTCTGTTTCAAAAAAAAAGAAGAAAAAGAAAGAAAGAAAGAAAAGTGGGTGACATCACTCTGGTTCTAATCATTTTCGTGCTTCAGCTGCCCCCACTGGATCAGTGTTTCTGGTGAAACGCAATCAGTTTTCGGAGGGCCTCACCCTCCTTCACTGTAATGATGTTTGCAGTTCTTTCTTTCTCCTCTATGCCGAAAATCCAGAATTACCACCCCCTGTTCCCCATGGTTCACAATCTCAAACACGTTTCTCCAGTGACCACTTCAATTCACACAGCCATCCCTCAGTTCAAATATTGCCTTTGAACATCATGAGCAAGACCACGGCTCTTTGTATTTCTGCCACAGTTTCACACCAGTTACAGATTATATACATTCTTCACGTCAATAAGTTTATTTTGTAGAGTGTGGTTTCTGGAGTCAGATGAACTCTCCACCTACTAGGTCTGTTACTTGGGCAAGTCATTTCTTGCCTAGATTTACCAATTTGTTAGAGTTATATTACTTTACTCCAAAAGATTTTATTCTGTGAATTACATTGCTTTTCTTATTTTTTAAAAATTGTAAATCTAGGGATTTAGGCTTGGTTGTTTTTTTAAATATCAGTACTTATCTAAACAAATATTTGAAAATTTTTCTTTTTTCTTTACGTATATTAGAAATCTGGCCAGGCACGGTGGCTCATGCCTGTAATCCCAGCACTTTGGGAGGCCAAGGTGGGCGGATCACCTGAGGTCAGCAGTTTGAGACCAGCCTGGCCAACATGGCAAAACCCCGTCTCTACTAAAAATACAAAAAAATTAGCCGGGCGTGATGGCAGGCACCTGTGATCCCAGCAACTTGGGAGGCTGAGGCAGGAGAATCACTTGAACTGAGGAGGCAGAGGTTGCAGTGAGCTGAGATTGTGCCACTGCACTCCCGCCTGGGCAACAGAGTGAGACCCCATCTCAAAAATAAAAAACAAAGAAAGAAATCTGTTAACAGCCTTGCTATGAAGACATTTTTGTCTGTTTCTTTTACTTTGTGTACTTATTTAATATTAAAACCTGTATTATTGCTCAGCAAAGAGGAGAATAGTTTCCTTGAAGGAAAAAAAACATCCTTAAGAACTTACTAGTTTAAAGCTGAGCATCTTAGATTTGAAGGTTGCCTTACCTTTTTAAAGATTTTTTTTATGAGTTGATAGAAAGTCCTAAAATCTTAGGAACAGAAACAATTGAGAATTACAAGTCAAATCATTGAAATGGAGCCATCTGACAGTTTATGTGTTCTGCTGTGCCAGTAGTGAGTGGGAACAGTTTCTATGTGGGAATATAATCAGGGTCCTGACTACCCCTAAAGGAGCTCTTTCTTGTTTGGTGTGAAGCCAATACACCAAACCGAGAGTGAGTATCAAACAGTGTGGGCTTTTTTCAATGGCCATGGAATTGCAGAAGTGGGAGCATAGCCTGCAAATCAACTTCTCAGAGCCTGAGAACTGAGGATTCTTAATGAAGGGGCTGGGTATACAGAGGAAAGGGAGAAATATTCATAGCTTTTCTTGGGAAGGGAGGTAGGTTTTTTTGGAATCAAAGAGCCACCTCTTTTCTGCCTGTTTTTGGTCTCTTCTGGCCATTGTCATGGTGATTGTCAACTGTCAAGGTGCCAGTGGGAGTGTCATTTAGCATGGAAATTGGATCATAATGAAGCTAGAGGTTTTTCAGAGGTCAAGCTGCCATTGCGGATTTTGCCAGCTTCAGCCAGTTTAGTCCTAAGAAGGAACTTCTGACCCCAGACATCCTGTTTTCTAAAACTAAGCAGTTAAAGCTGAATGGGAATTTAGCTCTGTCACATAGGCATTTGTTGGGCAACAAAAGCAGGGTAGGGCTCCAGCTAAGCCACGTAGGCACTACGATGGGCAACAGAAAGGTTGGTTTCTGGGCAATTCAGAGAAACCAAGGACAGCTACCCCCAGAACTCAGAGTAGCCAACTGGGCTGCTCACAGGAGATGCCTTAACTGAAAGGTGATCAGACTCCACAGGAGACCCAGAGAAGATGTGGAGGGAGCTCAGAGGCTGTCCTGGAGGAGACGTGGAGACAGCTCAGAGGCTGTCCCAGAGAAGACGTGGAAAGAGCTCAGAGGCTGTCCCAGAGAAGACGTGGAGAGCTCAGAGGATGTCCCAGAGAAGACGTGGAGAGAGTTCAGAGGCTGTCCCGGAGAAGACGTGGAAAGAGCTCAGAAACTCAGAGACTGTCCCGGAGAAGACATGGAAACAGCTCAGACGCTGTCTGCAAGAAGATGTGGAGAGAGTTCAGAGGCTGTCGTTACTGCTGCACTTGGCTGTTTTTCTTTGGATAATTATTGCAATCAATTTTAGTAATTCAGGTGTTAAATCACAGTCAAGCACCTATTTACCTAGTGGTGAGTTCCTTTATGTTGTGAGTTCAATGTCATTTGTGGGGACTGTGGTCCAGGGAGGTGTTGGGAGGATGAAGTTTTTTCTGAGTGACTTTGCAAACATAAAAAGTCATCTAATAAAGATGCTAGAAAAGCAAATATCCTAACTTCCTAGTCAGAAAAATGTCCAACACCATGTTTATTTAAGAATTTTTCACAAAAAAAAACAGTGGTGGGAGAAAATTACACATCTGGGCCCAGCAAGTAAGACTTTCCCTTCACAATTGTGCTGTGGGATCCCAGGCCTCGGGGGGCTACTGCCGTCACCGTCCCCAGGCTGTGGGCCCCTTTGTCAGCTGCTCTTCTGAAGGCAGGTCTCCTGTCCATGCCTTCCCCTTTGCTGTCCGGATGGAGATTGGAGACGCAGCATCATATACAGCTGACAGGTGTTAACCTTATTAGCTAATTCTGTTTCACGGGACACGATTTATACACTCCATGGAAATGCTTCTCACTGCCTTTTTTTACCACTTCAAGGTAGAAGTAGGTAATAGTGCTAAAGTCATCTTACTAGAATAACAAAGTCCATGGTTTGTTGTCCCTAAAAATATTTGTATTAGTTTACTAGGGCTGCCATAACAAAATACCACAGACTGAGTGGCTTAAGTAACATAAATTTCTTTCTTTCTTTCTTTCTTTCTTTGTTTATTTATTATTATTATACTTTAAGTTTTAGGGTACATGTGCACAATGTGCAGGTTAGTTACATATGTATACCTGTGCCATGCTGGTATGCTGCACCCACTAACTCGTCATCTAGCATTAGGTATATCTCCCAATGCTATCCCTCCCCCCTCCCCCCACCCCACAACAGTCCCCAGAGTGTGATGTTCCCCTTCCTGTGTCCATGTGTTCTCATTGTTCAATTCCCACCTATGAGTGAGAATATGCGGTGTTTGGTTTTTTGTTCTTGCGATAGTTTACTGAGAATGATGATTTCCAATTTCATCCATGTCCCTACAAAGGACATGAACTCATCATTTTTAAGAAAATGTGGCACATATACACCATGGAATACTATGCAGCCATAAAAAATTTCTTTTCTCACAGTTTTGGAGGCTGGAAGTCCAAGGTCAAGGAATCAGCACATTTGGTCTCTTCTGAGGCCTCTCTCTTTCCCTTGCCAATGGCCACCTTCTTACTGTGTCCTCACATGATTGTCCTGTGGTCTGTGTGTGGTCTCTGTCCACATCTCCTTGTCTTACAAGGAAATCAGTCTTACTGATTAGGGCCCACCCATATAACCTAATTTTACCTCAATTACCTCTTTATAGGTCCTCTTTCCAAATACAGCCCCATTCTGAGGTACTAGAGGTGAGGACTTCAACATAAATTTGAGGCAACACAATTCTGTCCATGACAATTGTCCACCTTAGTTTTATGGTGAACCAAGGCTGTGAAAAAGACTTGACTTGGGGCCGGGCATGGTGGCTCACGCCTGTAATCCCTACACTTTAGGAGGCCAAGGTGGGTGCATAACCCAAGGTCAGGAGTTCAAGACCAGCCTGGCCAACATGATGAAACCCCATCTCTACTAAAAATACAAAAAGAATGAGCTGGGCTTGGTGGCGGGTGCCTGTAATCCCAGCTACTCAGGTGGCTGAGATGGGAGAATTGCTTGAACCCGGGAAGCGAAGGTTGCAGTGAGCCGAGACTGCACCACTGCACTCAAGCCTGGACAACAAGAGCGAAATTCTGTCTAAAAAAAAAAAAAAAAAAAAAAGACTTGACTGAAGGCAGTGACCTAAGAGTGAAGCGATAACAGCTGGCAAATGTTCTGCAAGAAGGTGCAAAGCCCCTGCAGGCCTGGGAAGGTGCAGAGCCTGCACCTCAGATTTGACTCCTCTCATAGAATCATGGAATTTAAGTGAACCTCTTCCAGTATTAGGGAATCTTGAATGGAAACTCTAATATCTTAATCCCCAGTGTAACAAACTTTTACTACATTGTTCTCATGATGACAAATGTCTCATCAGAAAATGGCTTAAAAGTATAATTTTTATGAAAGCAGACTGGCTTATTTAAAACAAACATAATCTGAAAACTGTAATCCAAAAAGTAGACATCCATATATATATATATATATTCATTCATTCTCTTTGCTTTGAAACTTTCACTGAATGACCTTTGCCCATTTTATCGGTCACCATATTTTAGTGGTGCTGTGCAGTGACTTTTGTAGAGTAATATCTCTCAAAGTGTGCAATGATCAATATTGTGTTGTCAAAAGATTCTGTAGTCAAAGAAGTTTGGAAAACTTTAATTTTTTGATTAAGCAAAGCAAGAAGTCTGAGTTTCATTTATTGGTTTACTATGAAAAGTGTTAGAGGCTTTATGATGTGCAAGAAGGACATGTGTCATAATATTTCTCAAACCTATTTGACTTCCAATACTTGCTTTTTTGTTTTTTCTTCTTTTGTGGAGAAATTTCAAAAACTTTGGAAAATACTTTTTAAGTGAGATTCAGGAGTTTGATAAGCAAGATGACAAATACTAAAAATATACACTCCAAATATAGACACAATGAATACTAAATAAACTCACTGTTTTTAGTCAACATTATTCAAGGATATCCAAAGTTTTTCATGGCATAAAATGCTCTTTTTCTTTTCAGTAATATGATACATGTGATATTCCTGGAAACTTAAAAAAAAAAATCATCATTTATGTGCTCTCTTGTCAGTTTCATGCTGTATTTTTGATGTAGAAGAAAGAATTTGGTATCTTCTCAGGAATACATTGTCACATAAAAATATGTAAACTCCTTCAGATAAATTCTCACCTTCTGCAGAATGAGTCAAACAGCAGGGGGAGAAGCTGAATCTAGTGTTCGCAGTGAGTGACCTGTCTTCCTCAACACTGTCATCTCATCCATTGTCTTGGATGCTCAAGAAACGGAACTATATAAATGTGGCTTCTGGCCTTCATATATTACAGTGCCAAAGCTTCAAAGAACCAGTTTTTATTTAATACTTACTTTGTTTCTTTGCATTTTTTTTCAAAAATACAATATGTTGTTATTAACTATAGTGACCATGTTGTGCGGTAGATCTCTTCTTGAATATTTCCCCTCTCCTAAATGAAATTTTGAATCCTTTGATAAACATCCCCACTCCCCACCCCAAGTCCAGCTCCTGGTAACCACCAGTCTACTCTCTACTTCTATGAGTTCAGCTTTTTCAGATTCGACATAAAAGTGAAATCATATGGTCTTTCTGTGCCTGGCTTGTTTCATTTAACATAATGTCCTCCAGGTTCATCCACGTTGTCACAAATAATAAGATTTCATTATTTTTTATGGCTGAATAGTATTTCATTGTGTATATATACTACTTTTTAAAATTCATTCATCCACTGATGGACACTTACATTGTTTCCACATCTTGGGCTAATATATAAATAAGATTTAATGTATATGGTGTTGCAGATATCTCTTCGACATACGGATTTCATTTCCTTTGGATATATACCCAGTAGTGGGATTGCTGGTTCATATGGTAGTTCATTTTTAATTTTTGAAGGAACCTCCATGCTATTTTCCATGATGCCTTTCCTTCAAGTCTTCTCCAACACTTGTTATATTTTGTCATTTTATAATAACCATCCTAACACGTATGGGGTGATATCTCAAAGTGTTTTTAATTTGCCTTTCTCTAATGATTAGTAATATTGAGCATTTTTTATATGCCTGTTGGCCTGTATGTCTTCTTTTGAAAAATGTCTATTTGGATCATTTGTCCATTTCTTATTGAGTTATTTTTGGTTGTCTCTTCACTCTGCTAGCACCTATTTTGTATAAGACAATAATGCTCTTACATTTTCAAAATATACAGAAGATAAAAAACATATAGTAAGTATGATACTTGAATTGTAGTGAGACATTTAAAATTTTCCAGGAAACAATTACTGTGTTTTATGGTTATAAGGAAGAAACATGTACATCATTTTGGGGAAGAAAAAGAGAAATTATGGAGTGATAAGTTTAAATTGAGAAAATACCAACAAATACAATATACGAGAGAGGCTCTAGGCATTTCATTTACAAAAATATTGTCCAGTTTTTGTATGTGTGATGTGTGCTTGTTCCCTCTTTCCATATCTATCTCTGTCTGTCTTTCTGCTATGGTTTGAATGTATCCTCCAAAAGTTCGTAGATTGGAAACTTAATCCCTCTTCTCTCATGAATAGATTTATGTCAGTCCTGCCCTCATGAATGGATTAATGTCACTAGCATAGTAGTGGGTTCCTTATCATAAGCCCTTTTGCTCTTGCTCTCTCACTATGTGATGCCCCCTGCCATGTTGTTAGGCAGCAAGAAGGCCTTCTCCAGAGGCCAGCATCATGCTCTTGGCATTCCTAGGCCTCAGAGCTAAATACATTTATTTTCTTTATAAATCACTCAGTCTGTGGTATTCTGTTATAGCAACAAAAATATTAAGACACTCTTCCTATTTCCCCTACTCTCCTTCCTCCAGCCTCTTTCTTACACACAAAATGTTACTGAAATACCAGGAGTTCAATCTAGGTTCTGTTACTTGCACACAGAAAGCCAATCACTGAGACAATGAATATTGCCAAGGAAGAAGGCTTTAATTGCATGCTACAGCTAAGGATATGGGATATCAGTCTCAATTCCATCTCCTCAACCAGCCGAAATTAGGGGATTATATAGCAAGGAAGAAATGTAACTATGAGCAGGAAAACAGGAACTAGGGAGGGCTAAGGAAGCAATCATGACAAATAAGGAATCTGGCATCTGGCATCTCATTGTCTCGACACAGTGGTCTGATGAATTTCACTTCTTTGATACTTTTTGAGAGAGCTGAGAGTCCATTTCCTGAGGAAGAAACTCAGAGAAAACAAATGTAAGTTTCAAGCTTCAAGACCAGAAGGATTTGTTTCTATGTTTATATTTTTAAAATCTGTCTGTGGATCTATTGGGTGCATTTCAAAAACACATACAGAGGAAATCCCAGGCGCTGTGCTAGAATTGGGAATACAATGGTGAGTTCAAAGAGGAATAATTTTCCTATTCTCATGAAGCTAATAGTATAGGATAGAGAAAGCAAACACTAATCAAAGAACCACACAAGCATAAGATTGCAACTACAACTAAAAACCATAACCATTCAGTTAAGCTAAGGAGGCCACCATTGTCACCCTTCTCTTAACCTTTAATAATGTATTTTACAGGTAAAATCCTTAAGTAAGTCATATTTGGTTGGGAAGATCAAAGAAATCACCCAGTCTCCCACATCCGAAATTGTGCAGTCTGGACTGTCAGGAACAAAAGTGAAAGAGAGACGTCATCAAGGCCGGGCGCGGTGGCTCATGCCTGTAATCCCAGCACTTTGGAAGGCCAAGGAGGGCGGATCATGAGGTCAGGAGTTCAAGACCAGCCTGGCCAATATGGTGAAACCCTGTCTGTCTCTACTAAAAATACAAAAATTAGCCAGGCGTGGTGGCAGGCGCCTGTAATCCCAGCTACTTGGGAGGCTGAGGCAGAAGAATCACTTGAACCTGAGAGGCAGAGGTTGCAATAAGCCAAGATTGTGCCATTGCACTCCAGCCTGGGAGACAAAGCGAGACTCCATCTCAAAAAAAAAAAAAAAAAAAAAAAGAATGACTAAAATTAAGAAGATTGATGATTCCAAATATTAGTAAAGATGTAGAACAACTAGAACTCCCACATATTGCTGATGAAAATGAAGAATAATACATTACTTTGGAAAATACTTTGGTACTGATTTACCATATGACCCCAAAATCTCACTTGTAGAAATTTATACAGGAAAAATGAAAACATATGCTCACAGAAAGCTTGTATACACATGCTTATGGCAATAAATTTATTTATAGTTGCCTACCAACAAGTGATGAACAAATATATTTTAGTATCTTGATACTACTTTCTAGCTAGAAAAGGAATACTACTAAGCAAAAATAGAGGATGAAGTAGTAATATACATAACATAGATGAATTTAAAAACACCATGCTGATTGAAAGAAAACAATTATCAAATACACAGTGTAATATTCTATTCACAGAAAGTTTGAAAACAAAAAACTATAGTCTCTGAAAGAAAACCATTGGTTGCAGGAAGGTGGGGATTCATTGGCCACAAAAGGGACTGAGGAAACTTTTTATGGGTAATGGAAATATTTTATATCTTGATTGTGGCACCAATTATACAACTGTATGTACACATTTGTCAAAATTCTAATTGTATTATACACAACATGAGTGACTTTAACTGTCTATAAATTATATCTCAATAAAATTGGTCTTAAAAGATATATATATACACACACATAATTTAATATGTATTTTATATATATATATATCTCTCTCTCGACAATGGAGTGAAATGTACTCTTTTTTTTTTTTTTGAGACGGAGTCTCACTCTGTTGCCCAGGCTGGAGTGCAGTGGCGTGATCTCAGCTCACTGCAAGCTCCCAGGTTCACGCCATTCTCCTGCCTCAGCCTCCTGAGTAACTGGGACTACAGGCGCCCACCATCACGCCCAGCTAATTTTGTTTTTGTATTTTTAGTAGAGATGGGGTTTCCCCATGTTAGCCAGGATGGTCTTGATCTCCTGACCTCGTGATCGCCTGCCTCAGCTTCCCAAAGTGCTGGGATTACAGGTGTGAGCCACCACTCCCGGCCTGTGAAGTGTATTCTTATGGTTAAATTGTCACTTAGCAAACATCCAGAATGCTAAATATCCATATTATTTCTCTTGTTTTGCCTTTCTCTCACTTTTTCTACAAGCACCATTTTGAAGAAAGCCTCATCAACTTTATTAATTATATTTGTGATCATTTGAAGACACAGAAAATTTTCTTCTGCAAAATATAAAGTCTTCTTTCTTCTGCTCTCGTGATCCTTTTATTCTTTTGCCAAGTGATGTACATTAATTGATCAACTGACTTATGCATGCATTTACTTTTTCACAGATCTTTGTTATGCCTCTACTAGTTCTATGCTAGGGATATGGTATGACATTGAACAGGATCAATATGGTCCCTGCTTTCACAGAGCCCACACCTAATGTGTGGATAGTCAGAACACAGTTACACAAACACAAGTGGGAAATAATTATAACATCTGATAGATCTGAAGTCAGTAGAAAAGGTATTGAAATGGAGAAATAGAAAGGGGCCTCGCTTTGATAATGAAATCAGAGACAGTTTCCCTGCAACTTCCTTGGAGGGCAAAAGCCATGACCTTTCCTTCTCCTACCCCACCACTGACCCCAATAAAATACCAAGCACAGAATTTTCACTCAATAAATTACCTTAAAATGGATTTCAAAATATTTATAAAGCACATTTGTGTCCATTAAAGTATGAAAGGACATGTATTTGGAGCATAAAACCCAGCACATGATGGAAACATCACATAAATGAGGATCAAGAATCTAATTATGTAATGGGAAAATTTAAAAGAAATGTCAAGCTGGATAGAGTGTATTCTAAGAAAATGAATACATGTATAATAGCTAAATATTTGGCATTTGAGTTTCGGATGAAAAAAATAGATGTAAAAGAAACAGTTTCCTTAATTAAGAATTTAATTTTGTGGGGCCGGGTGCGGTGGCTCACACCTGTAATCCCAGCACTTTGGGAGGCCGAGGCGGGCACATCACGAAGTCAGGAGATTGAGACCATCCTGGCTAACATGGTGAAACCCCGTCTCTACTAAAAAATACTAAAAATTAGCCAGGCGTGGTGGGGGGCACCTGTAGTCCCAGCTACTTGGGAGGCTGAGGCAGGAGAATGGTGTGAACCTGGGAGGCAGAGCTTGCAGTGAGCCGAGATCACACCACTACACTCCAGTCTGGGTGACAGAGCAAGACTCCGTCTCAAAAAAAAAAAAAAATTAATTTTGTCCTTTGGAAGGAGAGAAAGAAAAGGCAGTTCACCTAGACCATCACTTGCCTTTTTTAGTTGCAGCAAATGCCAGTTTTTAACCGGATATGTTTGCAATGTGTGAGTTCTTCTCCAAGTGCTAGCTAGGATGAGCTTCCATACACCGCACCCCCAGCTGTGGTAATGCTTTACTCATAGCCTGTCTCTCATCCATCTGCCTGAATTCCTGCAGAACACAGTTGGACCAGCAGCTCATATTTAATCCTCTCATATGATATTAACACCACTGGTCTCCATTTTTGATTTACATCTTAAAGCCTCCAGGCTGTAATTGTTTTACCACTGTATTTCATTATTTAACATCCACTACTTTTATGGAAAAAAATGTGTTTACTCCTGTATCTCATCTTAATGTTTCACTAACTGCTAAACTCACATTTTTTGTTCATTTGCATTGTTTCGAGAATCTAGATTGTATTTGTCTTTGGAAACAGTCACAGCCACTTCCAGAGGTCATTTCCCATAGACCCCAAACTTCTCTTCTCCCAGCCTTGGAGGTGCTGGGTTCTAGAAGGAGGAGGCAGTGAGTCCAGAAGCCCAGCCATATCAGGATGACATCTACCATGCATCAGTCCTCGTGTGTCTTCAGCGCCTCTTTCACATGTCTGTGTCCTTAGAGCTTGCTGGAACCATCTTTGCTTGTCTCTGTGTATTCTGAGTCTGTGACTATTTGGCTCTAGGAGTCTTCTCAACAAAGTACAATTTCTGTTGTCTTTTTCCAAAAAACTTTATGAATAAAATGAAAATATGAGTAATATAAAATCAAAATATATTTTGATTTCTCATTTCAAAATTATCTACCTCTGTAGTTTAATAGAACTCAATTATTGGCCCCAGAAGATAATTTTTTTCCCTAAAGTATTTTCTAAATAATAACCAGTAGTTGACCTACGTCCTTTATATATATCACATAGAAGATCTCCACAGTACATTCTTCAAATTCAGCTCAGATAATCCATGGAATGCTCAAGTTCCCTGTAACAAATTGAGCTCCTATATCTCTGTGGACTTATAATTGACTAATAAAAGTAAGACTGGTTTGCTAATGATAAAGATAATTTGTAAAAAATAAATCATTTTAGTTTGACCATGAGACGCACACATCCATTATCATTAAATGTGAAAATCTAGAATATATCCAGTTAATGGTCAAGTATCAACTTTATGTCCCACACTTGCCATGTAGAAGCTAAGCTTTTAAAATGCAGAATTATTTTCTACTTTTCTGTTATATGCATATATTATAAATGACAAGTATTTTAAACACTGGATTTTTTTAAAAATTGCTTTATTTTCTTCTGTTTTGACAAAAGTTGGCTTTCAAGTTTAATTAAGTTAAAAAAAAACGAACAACAAAAGTGTATTCCAATGGGAGACAGATAAAGCATCTTTCTTATCTAAAATACAGGACCAGGCGCAGTGGCTCATGCCTGTAATCCCAGTACTTTGGGAGGCCGAGGCAGGTGAATCACCTGAGGTCAGGAGTTCGAGACCAGCCTGACCAACATGTCTCTACTAAAAATACAAAATTAGCCGGATGTGTTGGTCCATGCCTATAATCCCAGCTACTCAGGAAGCTGAGGCAGGAGAATCACTTGAACCCAGGAGGCGGAGGTTGCAGTGAGCCAAGATCATACCATTGCACTCCAGCCTGGGCAACAAGACTGAAACTCTGTCTTAAAATAATAATAATAAAATAAAATATATATTTATATATGGTATATGAATTTGATACATTTTGCTTTATTTCAGGACTAATGTAATGCTACAGAAAAGGAATGACTCTAAACTCACTTAATTTCTCCTGACTATAAATAGCCCTTGACCACTTTCAACTTTCCCACTGATAACTCTATAACATAGGGCAAGTTACTTGACCTCACTGAGCCTATTTTGCCATCTATAAATCAGCTAATAGGACCTAACTTATAGGTTTGCTGAGAGGTATAAGTAAGACAATAGAGTCTAGCATATGGTGGGGCTCAACAAATATTAGTACATTACTTACACTTTTTTTTTTCACCCTGCTATGCCTTTCAGTTTATTTCTACTAAACTCTAAGTTATTAAAATACAGGCTGAAGTATTATTAATTTCCCTCTGTGTTCTCCCCAGTTCCTATCACAGTGCCAGGGACACACAGGCCCCATAATCCTTCATGGCCAATTGAACTGACAGTGAACTATGTCTTCGTCCATTTGGGATGCTACAACAAAATACCATAGACCGGGTGACTTATAAACCACAGAAATGTGTTTCTTATCGTTCTGGAGGCTGGGAAGTCCAAGATCATGGCATTGGCAGATTCAGTGTCTGGTGAAGGCCTGCTTTGTGGTTCATAGATGGGTGCTTTCTTGCTGTGTCCTCATGTGGTGATAGGGGCAAGCCAGTGCTCCTAGTCTCTTTGATAAGAGCACTAATCCCATTTCCGAGGGCCCATCATGACTGAATCACTTCTCAGCAATCCTCCCTTCTAATCTCATCACTTTGGGGGCTAGGATTTCAACATATGAATTTGTGTGGGGGGCACAAACATTGAATCCATTGCAATGAACATCAAAGGATGGTACAGTGGTTAGTGTTTGTGTATCATGGCCTACCTAATAATTTTATGTCTTGGTTGCTGAAAATAAAACAAATAAAAGCTTTCATTTACATGCTTTTTTAGCACACCTTTTCTGGAAAAAATTCTCTACTTTAGTGCTGGTTTGTGTGGCTCATAATACATCTATGGCCATTAAAATCCAATAGAACTCCAGAGCGAGGAAGCACATTGCTGTCTTTCTCTATGGTGTTTTCCAGGCAGGGTCAGAATGCCAGGATATCATCAGACATTTTTTGGTAGACAGTGAGGGGAGGGGGTGGAGAGGGTGCAGTTTATTATACGTAAATTATACCTCAATAAAGCTGGTACTTCTTTTAAAATTTGCCATAATTCTTTATATTATAAAGATATAAAGAAATTTTTGCACTGTCTCTCAAGTTTGTCCAGAGGATAAAATCAGAGGCATATAACAATATAAAATAGTATTCAAAGATCAAATATTTATCCAAACTTTAATACTAGAGAAAGATGGGCAGGTATAAGCATGAGCAATGGGAAAATGAGAAAGAGCAGGAGAAGGAAATGTTACTGAAGCAAAGTCAGAGATTGCCTGCTTAAAAAAGTTTTAAAAGCTAATTTACGGAGATGGCTTCTTTCCTTAAACCTCACGAACCAACCTCTACTACCTTCCAACTTTTCTTCTTCAGCTTCCTCACCTCTCTCAGCCTTCATAGAACTGAAGAGAGTTAGGGCCTTCCTCTGGATTAGGCTTTGGTTTAAGGGAATGTTGTGGCTGGTTTGATTTTCTGTCCAGAGCACTCAAACTTTCTCCATATCAGCAATAAGGCCGTTTCACTTTCTCATCACTTGTGTGTTTACTGGAGTAGCACTTTTAATTTCCTCCAGGAACATTCTCTTTGCATGCACAGCTTGGCCAACTGTTTGGTGAAAGAGGCCTAGCTTCCCGTCTATCTTGGTTTCCAGGATGCCTTCCTCACTCAGCTCAATCATTTCTAGCTTTTGACTTAAAGTGAGAAATACGTGATTCGTCCTTTCATTTGAACACTTAGAGGCGATTGTAGGATTATTAATTGGCCTAATTTCAATACTGTTCTGTTTCAGGGAATACAGAGGCCTGAAGAGAGGAAAAAAGAGATGGGGGATGGTCGGTGGAGCAGTCAGAATACACACATTTACTGGCAAGTTTGTCATCTTATATTGGCACAGTTGTGGCACCCCAAAACAATTACAATAGTAACATCAAAGATTACTGATCACAGATCACATAACAGACATAATAATACAAATTTAAAATATTGCAAGAGTTACCAGATGTGATACGGTGACACAAAGTGAGCACATGCTATTGGAGAAAATGGTGCTGATAGACTTGCTCAATGCAGGGTTGCCACATGCCTTCAATTTATAAAAAATGCAGTATCTGAGAAGTGCAGTAAAGCAAAGCACAATAAAATCAGGTATGAGGCTGGGCATGGTGGCTCATGCCTGTAATCCCAACACTTTGGGAGGCTGAGGCAGGCAGATCACCTCAGGTCAGAAGTTCAACCAGCCTGACCAACATGGAGAAACCCAGTCTCTACTAAAAATACAAAATTAGCTGGGTGTGGTGATGCATGCCTGTAATCCCAGCTACTCGGGAGGCTGAGGCAGGAAAATCGCTTGAACCCAGGAGGGGGAGGTTGCGGTGAGCCCAGATCTTGCCATTGCACTCCAGCCTGGGCTACAAGAGCAAAACTCCATCTCAAAAAAAAAAAAAGAAACTAGAAAAGAAAATAAAACCAACAGTAAGCAGAAGAAAGGAAGTAAAAAGCATCAGTGTAGAAATCAATGCAATAGAAAACAGGAAAAATCATTTACAGGAAATAAATGAAACCAAACTCTGTCTCTTTGAGAAGGTCCATAGTATTGATAAACTTCTATTCAGGCTTATCAGGAAAAAAAGAGAGAATACAAAAACAACCTATCAGGAATAAGAGAAGTAACATAACAACAGATTCAACAGATGCTAAAGAGATAATAAATGGTAATTATGAACAACATTGTGCCAACAGATTTGACAACTTAGATGAAGTGGACAAATGTCTCCAAAGACACAATTATCTAGTCTTACTCAAAAACAAACAGACAGAATAGCCCGGTATCTATTAAAGAAATTGAAGCTGTAATTTAAAACCTTTCCACAAAGACTCCAATGCTAGGTCTAAATGGCTTCAGTGAAGAATTCTACCAAACATTTAAGAAAAACATGATACCAATTCTGCTAGTTCTTACCAATTATTCTAATTAAAGAGAAAATTGAAAAAGGAAGGAATACTTCCGAATAACCTCTTGCACTTTTCTCAGACTTGTAAGTGTGACACTGGGATGACCAGTTCATGGGGAGAATTTTATATTCTTTACAGGTGAACTGGCTACAACCACAGGCAATTTCAATTTCTTTCCAAATTTCTTCAGGGGAATATCTGAGGAAAAATAAAGTGCTTTTGAAATATAAACACTTTCTAGGAATACAGGAATGTTGCTTATATATGATTTTACCAATGGTCTCATGAAAATTGTGTGGAGGACTGTGGCTATAAACACAATGGTTTGAATTTTATGTAAATTCATAGCTTTTTATTGTTATTTTTAAATACAGAAAAGTTCTGAAGATAGTAATTTTATTTGCCAGTTTTTTGGAAACTTTATATCTGAGGAAGATCTGCTGGAAGATGTCATTTGGGGTAATGCAAAATATTTCTGGAAGACACAAGTAAAATGGGCCCTCATTGACCAAGTAGTTTGTATAGATGTAGTGATTAAACTATTAAGTAGAGGGGAGGTTGCAAAAATATTTGACAAAATGAAATGTGTGCCTGCAGTGCAAAACCACTGATCCTGCTCACAAACAGGCATAGTGAGAAAGATTTCTATATGCCTGGTAGAACAACCTCTGTGGGCCATCTTAAGCACTGGTGATTAACACTTTTATGCATTCTATTACATCTGAATTTCACCACTTAACATGATACTTAAGCTGAATTAAAATACCTTAATACTCTTGCCTTAATATTCTTCCAAGGTTTAGCACCTGGTCCTTTTAATAAAAAAAAAAAATAGGTTATGGTTACGTTTTTTTGAAAAGGTACTCAAATATGTCAACTTTATTGTTTCTAGATATACACCCCTTTGTACTGAAAATTGTAAAAATAGCATGAAGTTTCCTCTTATTGCAATCCAAATTTTTGAAAGCCAGTAAATCTAATTATTATGCTCTAGACAACTTACCTAATGCTTTGTTTATCCACAAGTAACTTTGCTTCAATTTCTTGATGTTGGGTTTCATCTCACTGACTTTGGGCTTCTAAATGGGAATATTTACGTCCTCTTCGCTTCTTTGGGTCAAATCAAACAGTAGAGCTAAAGTTATTCAAATACATTCAAACTACACAGACCCCTTATAAATTACTAGTATCATGGTAGGAAGGAAAATATATAAGGAGAAAAATACATCCTGGAACTCATTATCAAAATTATTGGTGTATAGTCTATACTAGCATAGAGTAGCTTTCTCAACCTGCTATGTAAAATTGCCAGCAAGAAAAAAAAGTGCAAGAATAAGGTCTATGACTGAAGTGGCTCGGTGTCATGATTCCCTACTCTAGCATTCTCAGAAGGATCCCATCCGTTAGACATGCAGAAACTGCAGCCCATCCAAATGTGATCTGTTTAATCAATAATCAACAGTTCATATTGAAGACAGTATTTTTGCTATATGTGCTTGTCATAATGAAGGACGGTGTACAAAGAACAAGTTGAACCAGACGAACACTTTAATTTTGATGCCAAAATCAATCATTTTTGTCATAACACCAGGCATAGATAATGGTTGATCCAGTGCACACTGTCTGTATTGCCCCATAATTTCCTGCAGCAGACATGTTATAATTTGACATACTCCTTGATCATTAACACATTGCAGTAGTCAGATATACTTGTCAAGATTAAGCTAAATGTCAGTAGAAGACTCAGTGAAGGCTTGAAAATCTTGCAGCTTGCTCTCAGAGACACTGCCAACTGAAATGATAAATGTCATTGGGCTGTGGTACTATTCTCATCGACGTATCAATAAATAAAGGGATGCTGGCGAAAAAATGTTCTTCCAGATACCTGCCCACTCTGAACCTAGAGTTCTTTTCATCACTGTGAAAGACAGCTCCCTACACACCGCAGCCATTTCCTGGGAGGACTCTGAGCTGTGATTTTAATAACAGAATGCACTCATCTGCCATTTTTCTTCCAGAATTGCTTGTGAATATCCTGCATGCTATCCAAGTCTCTCCACCCTTGTAGTCTTTGTATAAATGGGTTCATTTTGTTCCTTTTAATTTTTTGAGACAGAGTCTCACTCTGTGGCCCAGGCTGGTGTGCACTGGCGCTATCTGGGCTCACTGCAACCTCCGCCTCCCAGGTTCAAGCTCTTCTCCTGCCTCAGCTTCCTGAGTAGCTGGGATTACAGGCGCGCACCAACACGCCTGGCTAATTTTTATATTTTCAGTAGAGACGGGGTTTTGCCATGTTGGCCAGGCTGGTCTTGAGCTCCTGGCCTCAAGCGATCCACTCGCCTCGGCCTCCCAAACTGCTGGGATTACAGGCTTGAGCCAATGCGCCCGGCCCCTTTGTTCTTATTTGTTGTTATTGCAGTGGGATTCTAGGAGGTGCTGGGAGTGGAGAAGTTAATCAACATATTTAGCTAGCTTGAATAGACATCCCAGTATTGATAGAGTTGCAATCTTAAAAAAAGAAAGAAAGAAAGGGAAAAAAAAGCCCAACAGTCATGGGATGAAAAAGTATTTGGGCGAGGATGAAAGAGTCAAACTCTCACTGTGCACGTGAAATCACAAGTATGGGTCGGGCGCAGTGGCTCACGCCTGTAATCCCAGCACTTTGGGAGGCGGGTGGATCGTGGGGTCAGGAGATCGAGACCACCTTGGCTAACACGGTGAAACCCCGTCTCTACTAAAAAAAAAAAATACAAAAAATTAGCCGGGCATGGTGGCGGGCGCCTGTAGTCCCAGCTACTCGGGAGACTGTGGCAGGAGAATGGCGTGAACCTGGGAGGCGGAGCTTGCAGTGAGCTGAGATGGCGTCACTGCACTCCAGCCTGGGCAACAAGGCAAGACTCCATTTCAGAAAAAAAAAAAAGAAAGAAAGAAAAAGAAATCACAAGTACGTACACACGCAACTGTCCTGGTACTAACACAACATTTTGGTTTCCTTATAATATTGAAATTTTATTGAATATTGAAATACATTTTATTGAAGTTGAGAGTTGTATCTTCTTTTACCATGACCGCCAACATGTATGTGCAATAAAAGCTATAAGAATATTTGCATTTGACCCCTAAAATAAGGAACTTGGATTTAATAATTTGGCAGTTGCTTTGTTTCATTTAAATTTGAATATTTTTCTGTTTTATTTTAATAGATTGTTCCTATTGCATTATTCAAAGGTGTTAAAAAAAACTCTATGTGGTTGATTAGAGAACATTTATTATGTATATTTATTTGTGAATATTTATAATGAGTGTTTATTAAATATGTACATATTATACATTATACCAGGTACATATTGTATATATTATACATTATATAAGGTAGGGAATATACGTTGCCCATGTGGAGTTTATAATATAGCTGGAAAAATAATATCAACATATATACTGTATGATTCCAGCTACTTTTTTTTGTTTCTTTTTGAGATGCAGTCTTGCTCTGTCACACAGGCTGGAGTGCAGTGGTGTGATCTTGGCTCACTGCAACCTCCGCCTCCCAGGTTCAAGCAAATCTCCTGCCTCAGCCTCCTCAGTAGCTGGGATTACAGGCACGTGCCACCAGGCCCAGCTAATTTTTGTATTTTCAGTAGAGATGAGGTTTCACTGTGTTGTTCAGGCTGGTCTTGAACTCCTGACCTCGTGATCCTCTCACCTTTGCCTCCCAAAGTGCTGGGATTACAGGTGTGAGCCACGACGCCCGGCCTTTTGCCCACTTTTAAGTTGGATTATTTGTTTTCTTATTGTAGAGTTTCAAGTATTCTCTGTATATTTTGAATACTAGCCCTTTATCAGATATGTTCTCCCTCCCTGTGACTTGTTTTCTAATTCTTTTAACAGTGTCACCCATGCAGTAGAAGTTTTTTTATTTTTTTAATTATAATAAAGTCCCACTTAGCAAGTTTTTCTTCTATAGGTCACACTATAGGGTTGTATTTAAAAACTCATAGTCAAACCCAAGGTCACCTGTATTTTCTCCTGCTATCTTTTAGAAGTTTTATAGTTTTGCCTTTGAATTTAAGTCTATGATCCATTTTGAGTTAATTTTTGTGAGAAGTGTAAGGTCAGTATCTAGATTCATTTTTTTACATGTGGTTGTCCAGTAGTTTTAACACCATTTGTTAAGAAGCATATCTTTTTCCCATTGAATTACCTTTGCTTATTTGTCAAAGATCTATTGACTATATTTGTGAGGGTCTCTATCTGTACTCTGTGTTCTATTCCATTGATCTATTTGTCTATTCTTTACCAATACCACACTCTCTTGATTACTGTAAGTTTACAGTAAGTCTTGAAGTCAGTAAGCATTAGTTCTCTAATTTTGTTCTTCTTTAATATTATGTTGGCTTTTCTGCATCTCGTGACTTTCTATAGATTTGGAGTCAGCTAGTCAATATCTACAAAGTAGCTTGCTTGGATTTTGATAAGTACTGCATTGATCCCAATACTGATCTGTAGATCAAGTTGAAAGAACTGATATCTTAACAATATTGAATTTTCTTATTCATTAACATGCAGTAAGTTGATTTTTTAGATCTTCTGTGGTTTCGTTCATCAGATTTTCATAGTTTTCCTCAGATAGATACTACACATATTTTGTTAGACTTATACCTAAGTATTTCATTTTTGGTGCTAATGTAAATGGCACTGTGTTTTTAATTTTAAATTTCAACTGTTCATTGATGGCATATAGAAAAAGAAATGACTTTTTTAAATTAACTTTGTATCCTTCATCCTTGCTGTAATAACTTATAAAAGATTATATACATAGAATTCATTCTAGGAGTTTTTTGTTTATTCTTTGTGATTTTCTACATAGGCACTCATGGCATATATGAACAAAGACAGTTTTATCACTTCCTTTCTTCTTTTTTTTTTTTTTGAGACAGAGTCTCGCTCTGTCTCCCAGGCTGCAGTGCAGTGGCTCGATCTCGGCTCACTGCAAGCTCTGCCTCCCAGATTCACGCCATTCTCCTGCCTCAGTCTCCCGAGTAGCTGGGACTACAGGCACCCGCCACCACGCCCGGCTAATTTTTTGTATTTTTAGTAGAGACGGGGTTTCGCCATGTTAGCCAGGATGGTCTCGATCTCCTGGCCTCGTGATCCGCCTCCCTCGATATCCCAAAGTGCTGGGATTACAGGCGTTAGCCACTGCGCCCCGCTATCACTTCCTTTCTTATCTGTATACCTTTTATTTCTTTTTTCTGTCTTATTGCATTAGTTAGGACTTTCCACACAAAGTTAAATAAGAGTGATAAGAGGAGACATCCTTGTTTTGTTCCTGTTCTTAGTGGGAAAGTATCTCACTTTTCAGGCTTGAGTATCATGTTAAGTGGAGGGGTTTTTTAGATTTAAAAAATCAATTTGAAGAAGTTTCTCTCTATTGCTAGTTTGCTGAAAGTTTTTGTTTTGTCTGTTTGTTTGTTTTGTTTTTTGAGGCAGAGTCTCACACTGTCCCCCAGGCTGGAGTGCAGTGGTGTGATCTCGGCTCACTGCAACCTCCGCTTCCTGGGTTCAAGCGATTCTCCTGTCTCAGCTTCTTGAGTAGCTGGGATATAGGTGCGCGCTATCATGCCCGGCTAATTTTTTTTTTTTTTTTTTTTTTTTTTGTATTTTTAGTAGAGATGAGGTTTCACTGTGTTAGCCAGGATGGTCTCGATTTCCTAACCTCGTGATCTGCCTGCCTTGGCCTCCCAAAGTGCTGGGATTACAGGCATGAGCCACCACACCCAGCCTGCTGAAAGTTTTTATCATGAATGATTGTTAGATATTGTCAAATTCTTTTTATGCATCTATTGATAAGATTACATGATTTTTCTTCTTTAACCCATTGGTATAATGGACTGATCTTCGACTGTTGAACTAGGCTTGCATTCCGGAGTACATCCCACTTTGTTATGGTATATAATACTTTCCTTGTTTCTTTTTTAAACTATTGTATTTATTGTTTTTAACACTTTTTCACAACTTCAATGACAATCAAATAAGCCACCTCCTGTGTTGTGTTTCTCTGTGCTGCTTGAAGCTGCCTGTGCTTACTTTTGGTTCTACATAGCTTCTCCCCTTAGAATGATATACATAGTACAGCATTCAACATATGCTAACTCTTAGTGTTGTTATTATCTGAAGACCCTCAAGGACTGCTCATGGTGCTGATGTGGTTGGAGGGGACATGACTTGAACCATGTCTTGTAACTTTGCATGAATTATTTACACATGCTTGAGACAAGGTTAGTTTTCTGCATCAAAGAATGAGCAGGGAGATGATAAAGAGGTGGCTAGCTCCATCCTGTTCCAGCTATGGTCATTGCTGACGTGCACTTTGCATATACACGCTCATCCAAGTTGCATACTGCACTCAATCAGACTCAGGTGTGAAAGAAAGGTAGGAAAGAGGGACATGGGCCCACTTTCAGCTCTGGTTTATTCAGCTGTTATCACTGCTCTGTATGAGGACTGAAATGAAATCCTCAGCTAATACTGAACTGGAAGGAGCAGCCTGTGTGTGGTGAAGAGATAAAACCTAAAACAATCTTAACAGAAACAAAGCACTTTTCCAAACTAAGAAGAGGGCGATAAATGTAGTTTGACACTTTAGTTTAAAAATACACAAATTTAGGCTGGGCGTGGTGGCTCACACCTGTAATCTCAGCACTTTGGGAGGCCGAAGTGGGAAGATCATGAGGTCAGCAGTTCGAGACCAGCCTGCCTGGCCAATATGGTGAAACTCTGTCTCTACTAAAAATACAAAAATTAGCTGGGTGTGGTGGTGTGCACCTGTGCTCCCAGCTACTCGGGAGGCTGAGGGAGAAGATTCGCTTGAACCCAGGAGGCGGGGCTGCAGTGAGCCGAATCGTGCCACTGCACTCCAGCCTGGGTGACAGAGTGAGACTCCATCTCAAAAAACAAACAAACAAACAAAAAAACACAAATATTAGAATAACGCCTGTGAAACAAAAGTGACCTGAGTTTATGTCCCTGTGGCCTTGACAAAAGCCTGTGGTATAATGAGGTCACCTCATATCTTAGTGAGTTTGAAGGGAGTGAGGTCTCTCCTGCCCCCAGCTTTTAGACCACACTGAAGAGCTTGATCCCAGTTCCAGCCATTGGATATTCAGTAAGATGTCAATAAATCAGAGTTTGTCAAGAGAAGGAGGGTGAAGGGCCTTCTACCCTGACATGCCAGGTCTCAGACAGAGAGGAAGGCATTAGTTGCAGGAGAGAGAAAACTCAGGCATGAGCAGGATGGTCAACTTTAAATTCTACAGCTCCCTCCCATGGAGGAGACATTAGACTCACACTAAGAAGATAGGTCTGTAATTGGTGGATGGGGCTGCAGGAAGCTGTACCACAGACAAAAAGAAGAACTCAGGAATGAGGATTCTCAAAAATGAATGTGTTTTCTCTCAAAGAATGTATGAGAGTGTATTCATACAGTGATTCTCTGTTATCTATAGAAGTCTAAATTCCATAAGAAGTTCAGAAGGTCCTTTGTTCCTCACTTCCTGCCTGTAAGCCAGTTTCATCTCCCGGACACACTCTGCCACCCTGTGTGCCCTGAGTCATAGCCCCTCTGCACTAACTATGCTTCTCCCAAAATCAGCATACTCCTTTCACCTTCCTGCCTCTGCCCACGACTTCCTCTTGGTCTGGAATGCCCCCAACAGTTCAGCTCTTAAAGCTCATATACCCTCAGGCCATAGTTGAAAATATGTATATCCTTGTTTATTCTCAACAGTTCCAATAAAAATCCACCTCCCCTTTGAAGTCTTCACGACTGCTATACTTTAACCTCCAAAGCAAAGTTAGATACCCCATGATCTGTGCTCCCATGACACCCATCCACTTCGATTATGGCATGTTCCACATTCTAATTATTTGCTTACTGTCTCCTCTAGTTGACTTTGAGCAGACACCTTGTCTTATTCATGTCTGCATCTGAAGAGTTTTCACACAGGGCTCACACCACAATGGGTGAATGAGCACTCAGAGAGGAATCTGTACCCACGTGAAGGCATGCACCCTTCAGCACTAAGCTTCTGTGATCTCATAACATCTTGCCTTAATATTCTTCCAAGGTTTAGCACCTGATCCTTTTAAACACATTTGTTAATAAACAATAAATAGGCTATGGTTAACTTTTAAATAACTAGTTAATCTTTATTATGAAATAAGAATTTTGGAAGAGGCGAAGTGATCTATATACATGGGACGGAGGAAAGTGAATATCAATGGCCTATGACGCATCATTAAGTTTCTTTTCTATTTCATAGAATTTTCTACTCACATTACTGTCTTATTCAGTGTTCTTTTGTTTGGTGTTGAACCAGCGCAAAATCTCTGAGGTTAAAATGGAATTATTCTAAAGGCTGGAAGCCTGGTAGCTTCAAGAGCTAGAACCAAAGTCTGGAAAGAGCTCCAGGAACAGCTCCAGCTACCCTAAGTAAATCTCTCCCAGGCGCTCTGATCGCTTTTCACAACTTCTCTCTCCACATCACTTCAGCTTTTCTTTCCACAGATTGACTATGTCTGCTTTTCTAAGCTGCTGGTTAAATATGGAAGCACCAACGATCCCAAACTTAAATATTCTAAGTTGAAATGACCCATAGGGAAAGACCAGTATCTCTCAATCCCAATTCCCACATTTTAAAGAGAAAATGTGGTTGGGTCAGTTGTTCTACCTTTAAATAAATAGGGTCAGGTATGGGACATGATTCCATAACACAAACATGGCAGGCAGGGCTCACCATTGTGGGGTCAGTCCTCAGATAAATTTTTTTTTTTTTTTTGAGACGGCATCTCACTCTGTCACCGAGGCTGGAGTGCAGTGGTGCAATCTCGGCCCACTGCAACCTCTGCCTCCTGGATTCAAGCGAGTCTACTGTCTCAGCCTCCTGAGTAGCTGGGATTACAGATTTGCGCCACCATGCCTGGCTAATTTTTGTATTTTTAGTAGAGAGGGAAGTTCTACCATGTTGGCCAGGCTGGTCTTGAACTCCTGACCTCAGGTGATCCACCCACCTCGGCCACCCAAAGTGCTGGGATTACAGGTGTAAGCCACTGCTCCTGGCCAATAACTTTATTTATTTATTATTTTATTTATTTATGTTTTTGAGACGGAGTCTGGCTCTGTCGCCCAGGCTGGAGTGCAGTGGTGTGATCTCGGCTCACTGAAAGCTCCGCCATTCTCCTGCCTCAGCCTCCTGAGTAGCTGGGACTACAGACGCCCGCCACCACGTCCGGCCAATTTTTGTATTTCTTAAGTAGAGACGGGGTTTCACCGCATTAGCCAGGATGGTCTCGATCTTCTGACCTTGTGATCCGCCCGCCTCGGCCTCCCAAAGTGCTGGGGTTACAGGCGTGAGCCACCGCGCCTGGCCCAGAACTTTATTATAGGTGGGACACACATACCAAAAGAATCTGTGCACCACAATGATCTAATTCAATTTTGCTTTTTGAGAGGGTTTACAGAAAGATTAAACTGACTGATTAACATTGAGCGCTCTTTTCCCCTTAGACCAAATTTTAGTTAGCTATTGTCAACTATAAAGCTCATTATTATTCTTATGAACTTTAGAATCTAAAAAGATAAATCAGTCATTTGCCTGTTTGTTAAGACTTTGTCTGAGCCATCCCTACAAGACAGGTAAAGACAGCACTCAGCACAGGACTGTGGCCTACACTGATCTCTCCTTACTTCCATTATCTGCATTCACATCCATGTCTTAAATTACTGCCTTCTCAAAGTTAACAACTACATTAGTATTTTCTTGTTTACTATCTTTTTGTTTTGTTTTGTTTTTGTTTTTTCTTTTTCGAGAGGGTGTCTCACTCTGTTGCCCAGGCTGGAGTGCAATGGCATGATCTCGGCTCAATGCAACCTCCACTTCCCGGGTTCAAGCGATTCTCCTGCCTCAGCCTCCGGAGTAGCTGGGACTACGGGCGCCTGCCACCACGCCCAGCTAATTTTTATATTTTTAATAGAGACGGGGTTTTACCATGTTGGCCAGGATGGTCTCGATCTCTTGACCTTGTGATCCACCCGCCTCAGCCTCCCAAAGTGCTGGGATTACAGGCGTGAGCCACCGCGCCCGGCCTTTTTTTTTTTTTTTTTTTTTGAGACACAGTCTCGCTCTGTCGCCCAGTCTGGAGGGCAGTGGCCTGATCTCGGCTCACTGCAACCTCCACCTCCCAGGTTCACGCCATTCTCCTGCCTCAGCCTCCCAAGTAGCTGGGATTACAGGCGTAAGCCCCCACGCCCGGCGAATTTTTTGTATTTTTAGTAGAGATGGGGTTTCACTGTGTTAGCCAGGATGGTCTTGATCTCCTGATCTCGGAATCCACCCGCCTCGGCCTCCCAAAATGCTGGGATTACAGGCGTTAGCCACTGCGCCCGGCCCACTCTCTGTTCAACTCGGGAATCCCTGTCTTCTTCCTGTCTTGAAAGCTTCAGCCTTCTGAGACTTAAGAATACAATTTCAGGCTGGGCGCGGTGGCTCACGCCTGTAATCCCAGCACTTTGGGAGGCCCAGGCAGGCGGATCACGAGGCCAGGAGATCAAGACCATCCTGGCTAACACGGTGAAACCCCGTCTCTACAAAAAATACAAAAAATTCGCCGGGCGCCTGTAGTCCCAGCTACTCGGGAGGCTGAGGCGAGAGAATGGCGTGAACCCGGGGGGCGGAGCCTGCAGTGAGCCGAGATTGCGCGGCTGCACTCCAGCCTGGGCGACAGAGCGACACTGTCTCAAAACAAAAAACAAAACAAAACAAAATTCAATTTCAAAACCTAGATAAAAACTAAATCTTTGGAGATTCAGTGCTAAATTCTCAATTTGTGTTCACTAAAAGACGTACACTTGGGCAGTGACTAATTTGATAGTTATTTCCCTTGGACTGATAAGCACATTCCTTTTTTTTTTTTTTTTTTTTTTTTTGTTAGAGTCTTGCTCTGTCGGCCAGGCTGGAGTGGCATGATCTCGGCTAACTGCAACCTCCATCTCCTGGGTTCAAGCAATTCTCCTGCCTCAGCCTCCTGAGTAGCTGGGATTACAGGCGTGTGCCACCATGCCTGGCTAATTTTTGTAATTTGAGTAGAGACGGGGTTTCACCATGTTGACCAGGCTGGTCTCAAACTCCTGACCTCAGGTGATCTGGCCTCCTCGGCCTCCCAAAGTGCTGGGACTACAGGTGTGAGCCACTGTGCCCCACCCAAGTACATTCATTTTTAAACAATTAAGAAGTTTTGTAATGACTTGTGAAATGAGGTGATGAAATATAATTAAAGTAATCACTATTTTAATGGTAGTTCTCCATGGAATATTTCACAAAATTATTCAGCACCTTGTTAAGTTTTTAAGAACTAATAATGAAATAATATAATAATAAACCAGGAACATAGTGTTATAAATAGATACAAAATACTTTAGAGATTGAAGTTTTGTATTCACAGAGATGGGAGTGAAATAAAGTAGTTGTTCTTATAACTCTTGGCACTGAGACTATGTGACCTGTGATTTTGATATATGAGAGAAAAGCCAGATTTTATATGCAAGATGTTGGACAATAGATTTAGAGAGAAAATGTATCAGAATACACACTGAGGCAATAATTGCCTGTTTACAGATGAAACAGGAAAGACAAGATATAGAACTTCAAAATAAACATAAATGGTAATACTTAGCAGCATATTGAGCCAATTTATTTGGAGAAAATAATGAGAACACGCAGGACAACGCTGATGCTATAGACAAAAATTTATATTTTTTCCACTCAGGAGACTGTTTTTAGTAGTTTACTACTAGACAAGATGCTATGTTGAATAAAGCTAATGTACTTACTCTGTTTTGTTTCTTCTTTTTTTTTAAGTTCTGGAATAATTTTCAGGAGAAAGAAAATCATAAGAGTTTATTTAAAATTTCTTTTTCTTGAAACAGATTTATATTATTGAAAAATTAAATAACAGGTCACTACATAAATATCCCTGAAATTTTTTTTTTTCTTTTTTTGAGATGGAGTCACGCTCTGTTGCCAGGCTGGAGAGCGGTGGCGCCACCTTGGCTCACTGCAACCACCGCCTCCTGGGTTCAAGCAATCCTCCTGCTTCAGCCTCCTGAGTAGCTGGGACTACAGGCTCGCACCACCACACCCAGCTAATTTTTTGTGTTTTTAGTAGAGACAGCGTTTCATCATGTTGCCCAGGATAGTCTTGATCTCTTGACCTCGTAATCTTCCCGTCTCAACCTCCCAAAGTGCTGGGATTACAGGCATGAGCCACAGCGCCAAGCCAAAAATGTCGGTGAATTTTCAGAGACTAGATCCATTCAGTGAACACAGCCAGGGCTCTGTTGGATGCAAATGACAAAGACACAACTCAAACGTACTTTAACTCATGTTACAAAATGCTAAAGGACAGACCTTAGGGCATAAGCAGCATCTCTAGAATTTAGTCTTACCTCTTCCATCTCTACCTTTCTCTGTGTTGGTTCCATTTTATTTGTTTCCTGCAATGACTCATATCTTGTGATTGAAAAACAAGGGGCCGGGCGCGGTGGCTCACGCCTGTAATCCCAGCACTTTGGGAGGCCAAGGCGGGTGGATCACGAGGTCAGGAGATCGAGACCAACCTGGCTAACACGGTGAAACCCCGTCTCTACGAAAAATACAAAAAAAATTAGCTGGGCATGGTGGCAGGCACCTGTAGTCCCAGCTACTTGGGAGGCTGAGGCAGGAGAATAGCGTGAACCTGGGAGGCGGAGCTTGCATTGAGCCAAGATCCCACCATTGCACGCCAGCCTGGGCGACAGAGACAGACTCCATCTCAAAAAAAAAAAAAAAAAAGAAGAAGCCTGGTGGATATTCATTTCTGCAAGAATACTCAGGGAGTTCTATCATCAGGGACCTTTTCTGGACATGGTTTGCCTCTCCAGGCCTTGAGAACCATATCTTACTCCCCAAAACACTTTTGTTTCTGAGCATCCTCAGAGCCCATTTTTTCTGACCCAAATTGCTGCTCAGTAAAGGGACACAGATATTTAAGGGACACAGATATTTAAGGGACCTGAGGGGATGGTCCAAAAAGAGTAATTTTCTAGAGTGTCCATATATTTTTAAGTAATTGTGGAGGCATCAATCAGGATATCACTCTTCCTCCATTCACCCACCAAGAGATTGGGAATTGCCTTGTTCAATGTCGAAAGGCTGTCCTGGCTCACTCTTTCAGCACTCTGCAAAAGATGAGTGTTATCGCAATGGCATTGTGCCCACACACACCCAGGGAAAACCGTAGCTTTTGAAAAATGTTATAAACAAAATAACTGCATTGAATTCCACCAGATAAATTACAGATCATTTCTTTGAAAGTTAACACCGTGAGAACAATGTGTTTGATTCTCTGTTTTCTCAAAGTAAAAGTTTAGACAAGTATATTCTAGTAATATCATTTTATTTTTCATTTGAGACAGGGTCTCACTCTGTCATTCAGTCTGGTGTACAGTGGTGTGATCGCAGCTCACTGCAGCCTCAACCTCCCAGGCTCAGGTGACCCTTCCACCTCAGCCTCCCATGTAACTGAGACTACAGGCATGTGCCACCACACCCATCTGGTAGTATCTATACAGATCAGAGTTTACTTCTATATGGTAATGGAACAACTTTGACATGACAGAACATTCATAAGCAATTTTGGCATGTAAGTAACTGTTCTGATATTCGAAGCTCTCAATTGTATGATAAGCAATCCAACTCAACTAGTTAAACAAAAAACCTCTACTATATAAACATTAGAGAATCTTACCACATTTTGAGTATTTTAGTAGCTGAGTAAAAGAGACAAAATATATGAACATTTAAAATGCCCTTTAATGTCAGTTAATTTTTTTCTATGATTATAATAGTAAGAGTTGTGCGTGTGTTCTTTGGTTTAAATAGCACTACATTCTTCTTTGATATAATTTTTATATCCTTCCTCCCTCTCTCTCTCTCTGTGTGTGTGTATATATATACACACACACACAATATGTACATAGAATATATATACTGACACATACATACATTCATATATAAAATTTGAAATTAAAATATTAAGTATGGCTGGGCATGGTGGCTCATGCCTGTAATCCCAGCACTTTGAGAGGCCAAGGCAGGTGTATTATGAGGTCAAGAGTTCAAGACCAGCTTGGCCAAGATGGCGAAACCCCATCTTTACTAAAAATACAAAAACTAGTTACGACCGGTGGCAGGCACCTGTAATCCCAGCTACTCGGGAGGCTGAGGCAGAGAATTGCGTGAACCCAGGAGGCAGAGATTGCAGTGAGCTGAGATTGCACCACTACACTCCAGCCTGGGTGGAGCAAGACTCTGTCTCAAAAAAATAAAAAATAAAATAAATAAAGAAGGAAAATATTAAGCATGAACATAAAAAAGAACAAGAGCTGGTATAATTAGAATTAGTGTTTTGAAACTTTTCTCTTAAGTACTTTTGGTCATATTAATCAGTTGCTCTAAAATTTCAACATGGACATTTTGAAGGTGCACAGTTGCACACACCCCAATTGCAGAGTTCCAGTTTGGTTCAGATCGAGTAAACACATTCTGCCTTATCTACTGATTACACTGATAATCATGGTCAAAATGCATAATGTTACTAACAGAAGACTCTGAACGTTGGATAAGAGTAGTAAACATTCACCCCTAGACATTGCCATGGGGTTGAAGCCCCACAGCCTGTCTGTATGCTCCCCTAGAGGTTTGACCAGTGGGGCACTGAAGCACTGAAGAAGCAAGCCACACCTCCATCACATGCCCTGCAAAAGGGACAAGGGAACCTTTCCCATTTCAATAGCTACACATGTACCCCTGAACTTGGTATGGAGCTCAGGACCTGAAGGATGACCTAGCGGTGATTTGCCTAACTTGATTTCCTCCTTCCTTCCCTTCCTCTTTCCTTCCCTCCCTCTCATCATCCTTCCTCTTTCCCTTCTTCCTCCCTCCCTCTCTCTCTCCTTCTTATTTCTCCTCTCTTATTCCTCCTCTTCCACCCCTCCTTCTCCTTCTTCTCAGTCTTCTTCTTTCTTCTTATGTATTCAAGCTTGATCTCTAAAACAGACTGAAACTAGAACTGCACACAGGCAGACTGAAGGAGATAGAGACATGAAGAAACATTCAAAATATCAAGAAATCCAGGAGATGATTTTCTGAAAAAATTAAAATAGACCACTAGCTAGACTAACAAAAAAGAAAAGAAAGAAGATTCAAATAAACAATCAGAAACAACAAGGGCAATATTACCACTGACCCCACAGAAATACAAATAACTCTCAGAGAATATTATGAACACCTCTATGCATATAAACTAGAAAATCTAGTAGAAATGGATAAATGCCTGGACACATACACCCTCCCAAGACTGAACCAGGAAGAAATTGAGTCCCCGAACAGACCAAAAATAAGCTCCAAACTTGAATCAGTAATACGTAGCCTGTCAACCAAAAAAGGCCCAGGACCAGACAGATGCACAGCTGAATCCTACCAGATGTACAAAGAAGAGCTGGTATTACTCATACCAAAACTATTCAAAAAAGTTGAGGAGGAGGGATTCCTCCCAAACTCCTTCTATGAGGCCAGCATCATCCAGATACCAAAACCTGGCAGATATACAACAACAACAACAACAAAAAACTTCAGGCCAATATTCTTGATGAATGTTGATGCAAAAATCCTCAACAAAATACTGGCAAACCGAATTGAGCAGCAGATCAAAAGGCGTATCCACCACGGTCAAGTAGACTTCATCCCCGGGATACAAGGTTGGTTCAACCTACACAAACCAATAAATGTTATTCATCACATAAACAGAACTAAAGGCCAAAACCATATGATTATCTCAAAAGATACAGAAAAGGCTTTCAATAAAATTCAACATTCATTCATGTTAAAAACTCTCAATAAACTAGGTATTGAAGAAACATACCTCAAAAGAATAAGCACCATATATGATAAACCCACAGCTAATATCATACTTAATGGGCAAAAGCTGGAAGCATTCCCCTTGGAAACTGGCACAAGACAAGGTTGCCCTCTCTCACTACTCCTATTAAATATAGTATTGGAAGTTCTGGCCAGGGCAATCAGGCAAGATAAAGAAATAAAGAACTTTCAAATAGTAAGAGAAGAAGTCAATTATCCCTGTTTGCAGATGACATGATCATATTTCTAGAAAACCCCATAGTCTCAACCCAAAAGCTTATTAAGCTGATAAGCAACTTCAGGAAAATCTCGGGATACAAAATCAATGTGCAAAAATTACTAGCATTCCTATACACCAACAAAAGTCAAGCCAAGAGCCAAATCAGGAACAAACTCCCATTCACAACTGCAACAAAAAGAATAAAATACCTAAGAATACAGCTAACAAGGGAGGTGAAAGGTCTCTACAAGGAGAACTACAAACCACTGCTCAAATAAACAGAGAAGGCACAAACAAATGGAAAAACATTCTATGCCCATGGATAAGAAGAATCAATATTGTTGGCCAGGCACAGTGGCTCACACCTGTAATCCTAGCACTTTGGGAGGCTGAGGTGGGCAGATCATGAGGTCAAGAGATTGAGACCATCCTGGCCAACATGGTGAAACCCCGTCTCTACTAAAAATACAAAAATTAGCTGGGCATGGTGTTGTGCGCCTGTAGTCCCAGCTACTCGGGAGGCTGAGGCAGGAGAATCGCTTGAATCTGGGAGGCGGAGGTTGCAGTGAGTCAAGATTGTGCCACTGCACTCCAACCTGGCGACAGAGCCAGACTCCATCTCAAAAGAGAGAGAGAGAAAAAAAGAGTCAATATTGTTAAAATGGCCATACTGCCCAATGCAATTTACAGATTCAATGCTATGCCTGTTAAACTATCACTGACATTCTTCACAGAACTATAAAAAAACTCTTTTAATATTCATATGGAACCAAATAAGAGCACGAATAGCCAAGGCAATCTTAAGCAAAAACAACAAAGCTGGAGGCATCACGCTACCCGACTTTGAGCTATACTACAGGGCTACAGTAACCAAAACAACATAGTACTGGTACAAATTTATTTGTACAAATTTATTATTGGTACAGACACATAAACCAATGGAACAGAATAGAGAACCCACAAGTAAGACCACACACCTACAACTATCTGATCTTCAACAAACCTGACAAAAGCAAGCAATGGGGAAAATATTCCCTATTCAATAAATGGTGCTAGGATAACTGGCTAGCCATACACAGAAGATTGAAATTGAACTTCTTCCTTACACCATATAAAAAAATTAGCTCAAGATGGATTAAAGACTTAAATGTAAAACCCAAAACTATAGAAATCCTGGAAGACAACCTAGGCAATACCATTCAGAACAGTCACAGGCAAAGATTTCATGATAAAGACACAAAAAGCAATTGTAACAGAAACAAACATTGACAAATGGGATCTAATTAAACTAAAGACCTTCTGCACAGCAAAAGAAACTATCAACAGAGTCAACAGACAACCTACAGAATGCAAGAAAATATTTGCAAACTATGCATCTGACAAAGGTCCAATACCCAGCATCTATAAGGAACTTAAACTAATTTACAAGAAAAAACCAACCCCATTAAAGTGAGAAAAGGATGTGAACAGATACTTTTCAAAGGAAGACATACATGCGGCCAACAATCATATGAAAAAAGCTCAATATCAGTGATCATTAGAGAAATGCAAATCAAAACCACAGTGAGATACCATCTCACACCAGTCAGAATGGTGATTTTTTAAAATAATAAAACATTATAAACTATACCTAACATTTATAGAACACTCCACCCAACAGCAGCAGAATACATGTTTTTCTAAGAGAAAATGATATCCTGAAACATTGTTCAGCAGAACTGTTACAATTTCTTTTTAAAAACCTGAAATTTCTTCTTTTAATTGGTAATTATTTTTTTAACTTTTATTTTAAGTTCAGGGTTACATGTGAAGGTTTGTTATACAGGTAAACCTGTGACATGGGGGGTTATTGTACAGATTATTTCATCTCCCAAGTATTAAGCCTAGTACTCATTAGGTATCTTTCCTGACCTTCTCCCTCCTCCCACCCTCCACCCTTTGAGATACCACAGTGTGTGTTGCTACCCTCTATGTGTCCATGTGTTCTCATCAGAATGGCTATTATTAAAAAGCAAAAAGCAAAAAAAAAAAAAAAAAACAGATGCTGGCGAAGTTGTGGAGAAAAAGGAACAATTATACAATGTTGGTGGGAGTGTAAATTAGTTCTACTATTTTGGAAGACAGTGTGATGATTCCTCAAAGACCTAAAGACAGAAATGTCATTCAGCCCAGCAATCCCATTACTGGGCATATACCCAAAAGAACATAAATCATTTTATTATAAAGCCACATACACACATATGTTCACTGCAGCACTATTCATAACAGCAAGGACATGGAATCACCCTAAATGCCCAACAATGATAGACTGGATAAAGAAAATGTAGTACATATACACCATGGAAAACTATGCAGCTATAAAAAAGAATAAGATCATGTCCTTTGCACAAACATTAATGGAGCTGGAGGCCATTATCCTTAGCAAACTAATACAGGAACAGAAAACCAAATACGGCATGTTCTCACTTATAGTGGGAGCTAAACGATGAGAGCATACGGACACACAGAGGGAAACATTAGGGTGGAGGATAGGAGGAGAGAGAAGAACGGGAAAAATAACAAATGGGCATTAGGCTTAATACCTGGATGATGAAACAATCTGTACAACAAACCTCCATGACACAAGTTTACCTGTGTACCAAACTGATATGGAAGTGCTGGGAAGGGAAGAGCGTGGTCCCTTTAAATGATAGGGAAGGGGAGAAGGGAAGTGCTGGGTAGAGGAGGGCACGGTCCCTGGCTAGGGCTCCACCCCCACGGACCTAGGTAAGGACAGGCACTTCTGCTTTCATGCCGAAATGTAGCATTTTCCAAGACCACCCTGGCCTGCCATGCCCCCATCATGGGCCTATAAAAACCAGAGACCTTAGCAAGGCAGGGACGCAAGCAGCTGGACATCATAAGGAACACATCAGCAGAAGAAGACACAAGCAGCTGGTCATCGAAAGCACACTGGCGGAAGAGCAGGCCAACAGACACCTGCAGGCCATCAGGCCATCGATGGAGTCTCGCTCTGTCGCCCAGGCTGGAGTGCAGTGGCGCGATCTCCGCTCACTGCAAGCTCCGCCTCCCGGGTTGACGCCATTCTCCTGCCTCAGCTTCCCGAGTACTGGGACTACAGGCGCCTGCCACCACGCCCAGGTAATTTTTTGTATTTTTAGTGGAGACGGGGTTTCACCATGTTAGCCAGGATGGTCTTGATCTCCTGACCTCGTGATCTGCCCACCTCGGCCTCCCAAAGTGCTGGGATTACAGGCGTGAGCCAGAGCGCCCAGCCAGGACTTCTTTATTAAGTGGT